>NC_000012.12:73217703-73369218 GCF_000001405.40 Homo sapiens | reverse complement strand
CAAGGAACCCAGAAAAAGTGAGCATTTATGATCCTAAAGTACCTATCTTAAAGCATACTATTAATAACATGTAGTTTTCAGGTAAAAATTATATAATGATAAATGAACATAAGTGGAGAATTGCTAAGTTTTGATAAATATATGCATCCATGAAACTACCATTCCTGTTGACATGGAACATTGCCAATACCTCAGAAAGTCCCCTCTTCCAAGGGTTTGCTGAAGATGTCTTATAAAAATTTACAAGAGAAGATTGACAAATTTTCAGGAATTTTATGAACTATTTGTTAAACACAAGTTTTATTAAAAATAATTATCTAAACTTACAACTAAATACATTATATTAAAAACAAAATAGATGTATAATAAAATATCCTACTAATAATTATTTTACTATATATTACTGTTCTCTTGTGCTCATGAAGTTATATTATCATATTGCCTGAAAATAAATTTATGATGACATGAACAAAAAAAAAGAAATATTAGATTTTGTTATGCTATTGCAATTTCCTGATTCTGTATTCAGTGACTTCAACTTCCCAATGGTTGTTTGAAATATACAAATAGTAAATTTTGTGAATTAGGGTTTTTCCCTTCCACAGAGAAGTTTTTAAACACATACTTGTACCCCAATGCTCATACACCTTTTCAGCCATTCACTGTTCCCTAGAGACTACCTATGTTTTTCATCCCTACCCATAGTTTAATTTTGCCTGTTCTTGAATTTCACATGAATGTAATCATAAAAGATATTCCTTTGTGCTTCTATGTTTTTGAAATCTTTTCCATATTTCGATGTATATCAGTATCTTATTATTTTTCATTGCTAAGTTGTGTTCTATAATAGGAATATACTGCAATTTATTTATCCAGACTTCTTATGACAATATGTGAGTTATTTGCAATTTGGTGTTATTTAGAATTAAGCTGCTACAAACATTCTTGCAGAGTCTTTTGTGGATATATATATGTATATATTTTAATTTTTCTTAAGTAAATATTTTTCTTAATATCTAAAAGCAGAATTGATGAATCATGGGTCTTCAAATACGTTTAATTTTAAAGAAGCTGCCAAATAGTTTTGCAGAGTGTGTACCATTTCATATTCCCACCAGCAGTAGAGGAGAGTTCTAATAGCTATATTTCTTTCTCTTTTTTTTTTTTTTTTGAGACGGAGTCTCACTCTGTTGCCCAGGCTGGAGTGCAGTGGTGGGATCTCTGCTCACTGCAAGCTCCGCCTCCCGGGTTCAAGCCATTCTCTTGCCTCAGCCCCACTCCCCCAGCAGCTGGGACCACAGGTGCCCGCCACCACAACCGGCCAATCTTTTGGATTTTTAGCAGAGATGGGGTTTCACCATGTGAGCCGGGATGATCTTGATCTCCCGACCTCGTGATCTGCCCGCCTCGGCCTTCCAAAGTACTGGTATTACAGGCATGAGCCACCGCGCCAGGCCTTTTTTTTTTTTTTTTTTTTTTTTTTTTTCCAGATGGATTTTTTGCTCTTGTTGCCAGGCTGGAGTGCAATGGCACAATCTCGGCTCACCGCAACCTCTGCCTCCAAGTTCATGTGATTCTCCTGCCTCAGCTTCCTCAGTAGCTGGGATTACAGGCATGTGCCACCAGGCCTGGCTAATTTTGTACTTTTAGTAGAGATGGGGTTTCTCCATGTTGGTCAGGCTGGTTTTGAAATCCTGACCTCAGGTGATCAGCCCGCCTTGGCCTCCCAAAGTGCTGGGATTACAGGTGTGAGCCACCATGCCCGGCCATAGCTGTATTTCTTACCAAATACATAGTATACATGTCTTTTAAGTTTTAGTAATTTTAGAAAATTTGAAATGATACCACATTATGAGTTTAATTTGATGATTAATGGTGTTGATCATCCTTATGTGATTGTTAGCCAGCTATCTGTACATCTTCACTTGTAAAGTGTCTATTCATGTGTCTTGCTCAATTTCTCGAGTTGTTTTTTGCTATTGTATGAGTTCTTTTTATTGCTGGTACAAATGCTTTGTCAAATGCATGCATTATAAATATTATATCTGACTTACCTTCTTTATTTGAAAGTAAGATTTGATGAGCATAAATTCTAGTTTTGATAAATTCTTTTTTTTTTTTTTTTTTTTTTCTGAGACCGAGTCTTGCTTTGTTGCCCAGGCTGGAGTGCTGTGGCCAGATCTCAGCTCACCGCAACCTCCGCCTTCCGGGTTTAAGCAATTCTCCTGCCTCAGCTTCAGGAATAGCTGGGATTACAGGCACCCACCAACATGCCCAGCTAATTTTTGTATTTTTAGTAGAGATGGGGTTTTAACCATGTTAGGCAGGCTGGTCTCGAACATCTGACCTTGTGATCCACCCGCCTTGGCCTCCCAAAGTGCTGAGATTATAGGTGTGAGCCCTGCGCCTGGCCTGAATTCTTATAAATTCTAATCTATTTTCTTTATTGGTTGGTGCATTTTGTTCTTTCTAAAAAATCCTCTTATATTCCAAGGTTATTAGGATGTCCTTCTATGATTTCTCTTAGAAGACTTCACTTTAAATATATGTTTCATCTGACATAAATTTTTGCGTATAACTTCAGGTAGGTGTTGATGTTAGTTTTCTTTTCTATGTGGATATCCAGCAGTTCTAAGACCATTTTTTGAAAAATATTCTTTCTCTATTGAATTGCCTTTGTGTTTTGTCAGAAAGCAACTGACCTTATATGTGTACCTCCTTCTCTTCTATTGATTTCTTTTTCTGGATATACTCAAGAAAACACTATCTTAATCACTGTAACTTCATAGTAAGGAATATTAAGACTTGAAACAAGTAGTGTGGAGCCTTTCAACTGTTTTTTTTTTTTTAACTCAACATTCTTTTAGGCTGCAAAAGTTATTTTAAATGTCTATACACATTTTATTCACAACTCATCAATTATTACGAGAAACCATTTTGTGGGAATTTTGACTTGAATCACTTCTTATCTTTTTAGATCAGTTGAAATCTTAGCAATATTTGGCTATTTAATTAATGAACATGATACATGTCTTCATTTATTTAGGTCATCTTTAATTTCCTGTAGCAATCTCGTGCAGGTTTTTTTTTTTTTGAGGTGGGGGTGGCGTGGGTGGATAATCTCCCTTTGTTGCCCAGGATGGAGTGCAAGTGCAGTGGTGGCCTGATCTCAGCTTACTACAACATCTGCCTCCCAGGTTCTAGTGATTCTCATGCCTCAGCCTCCCAAGTAGTTGGGACCACAGCTGCATACCAAAAGCCCGGCCACTCTTAACAGTATCCTACTAGAGGTTTTTTGATTTTTTTATTACACTTTAGTTTATAGCTTTTGATGCATCTGTTAAGTTGCTGGTAATTCACTTTGAACTTGTAAAGGCTTGGTTTTATACTTCGTAAGGCACACTTTGGAAAACTCAAGGTTTTTTTTAAGCACCTTTAATTTGGCAAGACTCAAACTCCAAACTTTGCTTCCTACCCTACCAGGCTTTGGCAGAGCCTGGACTCTCTTCTTGGTCTTTCAGTCCTTTGGTTTTTATTTTGCTTTAGTTTATTTGTTTTGTTTTATTTGCTTGATTTTTTACTTGGCTCTTTGTACTTTCTTGCATGGCTAGGCAGCTTAGGAGTAAGTCATGTCATTAAGAGGAGTTTATAGATATATTTTGGGTAGGCTCAGCTTTGACTTCCTTCTTTCTAGAACTTACCTCTTTAATTTCCAGTCACTTGGGTTACCTAAAATTCTGTTTTGTGAAATCTTAAGCTGATAGCACAACAGCATTTTGCTTGAGTTCTAACTGCCACACTCATGCAGATTTGGAAATATCAGCAGGGGAAAGACATGGATACTTGGATCTCATCCTGTTGAATTACACTGTGGAGAATTGAATTCTCTGAAGTTTATTCCTGACTTAAATAGCTCTCTAATGCTTTCTTACAACTGTTTCCCTCACCCCCATCCCACAGAGTTTGTAAATGTTATCTTTGATCTGGTTATTTCAAAACAAGCCACTCTGCTATTTCTGGAATTGGAAATCACTAATTTATTTTAAAAGTACAATGTAAAGGCATTGCTATGTCATTTACTTACCATATCTCTAACTTGAGTTTTTACCAAACAGACATTTAGAGTTTGATAAACCACAGGGAACATATATTAAAGACTGAATTTCAAGAAATTGTTCAAAAAAAAGTTTAGTGGTAATGCATTCAATTACTATGTGACATATGTGTAGTTGAATTCACTGTCAATTTCTCTAAAAACTAGTTTTAAATGTCTATTTATATTTTAATGTTATTCAGACTTTAGCTACTTGAGATTTAAAATTTAAAAGACCATGAAATGATGACAGCTAGTTCTCAGACTTATAGGATATCTGTGATATCTGTGATAGGATATCTGTGATATCTGTGATAGGATATCTGTGATAGGATATCTGTGATATCCTATATACTTGGGTCCTATGTTCAGAACACATTCAGAAATAATCTTAGAAAAATTAATTAGCATGAAGAAAAACACCACCAAAAACAAAACACCAGAAATAGGTTTGCTAAACACAAGGGGCTTGTAAAACATCAGTGATGTCTATTAAAAAATTTATAAAACATGTTCAATAACAACAAAAAAAAATGAGTCTTACAATTTAGCATCAGAAAAGTACAGATAAGTTACTTTTTTTTATTTTTCCTTTTTTTTTTTTTTTTTTTTGATGTAGTCTCACTCTGTCTCCCAGGCTGGAGTGCCGTGGTGCGATCTTGGCTCACTGCAGCCTCCACCTCCCGGGTTCCAGCAATTCCCGTCCCTCAGCCTCTCAAGTAGGAGGGATTACAGGCGCGCATCACCATGCCTGGGTAATTTTTGGTATTTGTAGTATAGAATGGGTTTCACCATTTTAGCCAGGCTGCTCTTGAGCTCCTAACCTTAAGTGATTCACCCGCCTCGGCCTCCAAAGTGCTGGGATGACAGGCGAAGTCACTTGTTTCTTTTTATCTTGAGAAAGTGAATGGTTGAAGAGAGTTACAATTTCTCATGCAATATATTTTGTCAACTACAAATATTCATCCTCCTGAAAGTTCTCAAAAACGTATGAAAAGTGAAAAACAGTAAACTTGGTTGAGTAAAATTTCTTCTCGGTGTCATTTCAAATGGATTCATTCTCAAACAGGCTCTCTTCTTATTATTGCACAGTGGCTGGAGAAGCTCCAGATCTCAAAACCTCTCACATCTCTTCTGGTAGTAAGAGGAAAATCCATTTTTCTAAATTACAAGCAAAAGTCATTGTTTATAATAGACTCTTACTGGTCATATGAGCATCTCGATCTAGTTATAGAAGTCAGAAGTTTATGATGGACTGATTCCAAGATACATTGTTCACATAAAACCTTTCTTTTCAAAAGGGATGTGGAACCCCACCTAAAATACACAACAGATAATGGTACAAATGTGATTTTTTTTAAAGGAAAATGGTAAGAACAATCATTATTGGAGGGCCACGATGTAACTAATATCTACTAAATACTCAATATAGTCTAATGGGTTTTCTTTCTCTTTAGACCTTATCTAGGAATACTTATCACCAACTTTATTAAGGATGTAATTTTAGTTGGAATGTGTTCCCACACCCTGGATTCTACAAGTAAGTCTACCAAGGTCTAATCAAATTCATGTTTATGGTCACGAAAGAAAAGAAAAGAAAAAAAGAAAGAAAGAAAAAAAAGCATTGTCAAGAAAGAAAAAGAAAGAAAAAAATAAAGAAAAGCATTGTCCCAGCTTTCACAGCCAGTGAGGTAAAGATAGAAACAGTCTATTAATAATAGGACTCACATTTTGTTCCATTTAAGTATTTTCCTTTTTTCATATGTATTAAGCTTCTCAAACTGTGCCCAACAAAAGTTCCCCACAACAAAAATTCAGGTAATGATCAATATGCAATTTTCTTCCATATTTTTTCTCTTTGATGTGTGCAGGTTGGACTGGGGGATGGAGAAGCTCATGGTTGAGTTATTTTGAGGTATTTTTGAGCTGCTTATTAGCAGGTTCTCATTAGTAGCTTCTTATTATGAGCTTTCCCAGGCAGTTGTGACATGTTTTGAAGATAACTCTTTTGTTCCATTGAAATCATAATGCCTACTTTAATCTGCAATGAATTCTAAAAAAGAGAAGAAAAGGCCAATTAATTATAAAATAGCTCAAAAGTCCTTGTTATATATCACCAGCTTTTACACCTTAGACAATATTAAATTACAGAGTCTTGAGTGAAAAAGTATATTTTGCTTTGAAACCAGTCTGGCAGCAATAATATGTGCTTCCACATAATAATAGGCACCAGAAAAAGAAGCAATGCCAGTAATCCCTTTAGAGCTGAAAGGAACCCATAAATAAAATAACTTTAGAGAGGCTGGTGTTTACTGCAAGTGCCTTCATTAAAAGAGGGATCGAATATCAATATGTCAAACACTTCAGTGACAATTTATTGTGTAATATCAGTGCACCAGGTATTACAGAATTTTGTTTTTTTTTTTCTTATTGGTTAATGTAAGACATTATATGATGCTAACTATGCTACAGTCATAAGCACATATGTAATGACACTTTTAATTCTTAAAAAGAGGAAAGTACTGTTACTATTCCCATTTTACTGTGAAGATGCTGAGGCATGGAGAGGTAACAAACTCACCCACTGTTCCATAGTTATAACAAATATGACCTGTCTATTAAGGCAGACAGTCTAATTCTAGCGTCCAGTCTATTCACCCCTTGGCTGCACTAACCCTGTTTTAAGGATAATACATGTGTTTCTGAACCTTCTTGTGTAAACCTCCCCTTCTATCTCCTTTCCTCGGATCTCTCTGTTGGCCCCACTTAGTAATGTTTTTCTTTAACTTGGCCAGGCTTCTTACTAACACTGCCACAGAAATTTTACATCTCCTTCCTCCCCTATTCTATGACTTTTTTCATACTATTCTCAATTACTTAAATAACTTGCATTATTCAGCACACATTTAACGATTCCCTATTTAATGATCTAGATACTGTGTAACTCCTATTAACAAATCTATCCTAGTTTGTTCCTTCAGGATTTGGTTTATGAATCACTTTCTCTGGGAAGCAATATATAATATCCTTTCCTCAAACTAATCATTCCTTACTTAATGTTTTATTGTTGCAATTCACGTTGAGTACTGTGGATTTCCATTCATTTCTAATTCAAATCCGCAGGACTTTGTGGTGAAATGCGCCTGGGATTTAGCATAAGAAGATAAAAACCAAAGCCAAGTATTACTTGCCAAGTCATTTATTGTAGTTGACATTCCTTCTTGTTACCAAAATGTTAATAATAGCAATTATAATGTGATTTAATTCATAGGATTATTAGGAGGGTCCAATATGATCCAAATAGACATGCTTTATAAAACCATATAGCACAAATATTTTGGTTTCTTACCCCAAACCTGGTTCCAACCCACACTCACATTGTCCTTAATATTTAACCACTCATTTGCAATCAACCATGTCCAGCCCATAAATCAATGCTATTCTAGCCTGACAGATATTCTAGGGGCATTTTGCTAACTTTAGCTAGTGTGATTTATAAATTAGTCTCAGGCTATCTGTGTCAAAAAGATTGCATGTGGAGGTTTATTTTTATTTTTTTTTAAACTGGATAAAGCAAGTGATTATTGGGCTGTGCAGTTTCTCCTCCTTCTCATCCTGCTCATCCTTCTTCTTTTTCTATTTCTTCACAGGTTTATTAAGTTATAATTGCTGTGCATTAAATTGCACATTTAAAACATGCAATTTTTTGGATGTTTCCTCATGCCTCTTTGTTACCCATTCCTCCCTCCTCAGTTCCTCTGTCCCTAGGCAACCATTGATTTGTTTTCTGTCACTGTAGACTTTTTTTGCATTTGCTAGCTTTCACTTAAGTTGAATCCATATCAAATGTACTCTTTCCTGTCTGATATCTTTCACTTAAAATTATTTTTGAAATTTATTCACATTGTTGTAAGTATTATTAGTTAATTCCTTTTTATTGTTGTGTAGAATTCCATTATATTAATACACTACAGTCAGTTTATTCATTCACCTGTTAATGGCCAGTAGGGTTGTTTCAAGTTTGCAGTTAATATAAATGATATGCTATAAGCATTTGCTTACCAGTCTCTTGCGAGCATACGCTTTCAATTCTTATGGATAAATGTGTAGAAATGAAATTGCTGTTATAAAATAGGTGTACATTTAACTTTATAAGAAACTGCCAAACTGTTGAACAAAGCAGTTGTGTCAGTTGTGTCAGCACTCTATCAGAGTTCAGGTTTTGCTTCATCTCCTCAACAACACTTGCTATACCAGTCATTTTTATTTTTTTTCTTCACGTGGCCTTTTGTCCTATTTACAATATTTTTGCCTCATGCCTGTAATCCCAGCATTTTGGAAGGCCAAGATGGGTGGATCCCTTGAGTCCAGGAGTTTCAGATCAGCCCGAGCAACATGGCGAAAAACAATCTCTACAAAAAAATACAAAAATTAGCTGGGCGTGGTGGTGTGCTCATGATCACGTCACTGCACTCTAGCCTGGGCAACAGAGGGAGACCCTGTCTCAAAAAAAAAAAAAAAAAAAATCTTGCCAAACCTAAGTTTACTAAGTTTTTTAAGGCAACTTAAAAAAGTTGCCTACTTTTTTAGAAGTTTTATAATTTTAGTCCTTACATTTAAGTATATGCTTCAAGTTTTTTTTTATATCTTTAAAAAATCTGATGATGTAGCTTTTTATCTGGTTGACATCTCTTTTTTGAAGAAAGCTTTTCAATTATCTTAGTACTATTCTTTTAGAAAAGATAATGATTTCCTCAGTAACTTGCTTTGGCAATATTTTGATAATGTAACTGACTAGAGAGTATATGCCTATTTCTGGTCTCTTCTATATGATCTATATGACTATCTTTTTGCCAGTCTCACAGTGTCTTTCTTATAGTAGCCTTGTAATAAATATAAACATCAGATAGTGTAAGTCCTCCAAAATTGTTCTTATTCTTCCAAATTTGTTTTGATCATTTTTGTTTCTTTGCATTTCCGTATCAATTTTAGAATTAGCCTGCAAAATTATATTTATAAAAGCCTTTTGGGATGTTGATTAGGATTGTGTTAAATTTAAATATTAATTTGGGAAAAAAAATGACATCCTAATATAGATGTTTCTATACCTGTGAAAACGGTATAACTCTGCATTTACTTAGGTCTTGCTTAATTTATCTCAGTAAGTTGTTTTCACTATATTTGCCATGCACGTTTGTCAAAATTTCCTAAATATATATTTTTGATGTTATTAAATATTGTATTTTGGTATATTTTATCATTGTAAATTCTTATTTTTTATTAGTCATACATAGATTCACTGATTCATCTTTTATCCTGAAAATTTTCCAAAACTATTTATTAGTTCTACTGAAATGTTTATGTGTTCATTACGATTTTCTATAGAGATAATCATGTTGTAAGAATGAAAGAATTTTTTTTTCATCTATTCGGATCTGAATGATATACATTTCATTTGCTTCGCTATTGCATTCTCTAGAAACTCCAGTAAATATGTTGACTAAAAATAGGGAGAATTAACATCTAGATTTATTTTTGATCTTTGGGGGAAAGTATTTACTCTTTCATTGCTAAGTATGATGTGAACTGTATGCTTTTCTGTATAAGCCCTTTATTGCACTGATGAAGCACCTTATATTTGTAGGTAGCTGAGAGATTTTTGTCATTTATGGGTATTGAATTTTCAAATATTTTCCTTCACTGATTGAGATGATCACATGTATTTTAGTCTGTAACTGTGTGAATTACTTTAGAAAATGTTAAATATCTCAGATATTTTTTGCTATATCTGGCATTTCAAACAAACAAAATATTTTCTCGTTAGCTCAGTTACATCTTCCTCTAACTTTGACTTGCATCTATTATCAGACAAGTTGATCACCTTCAATATGAATTAAAAAATAGAGTTGCAATTTTTTTCCCTATGGAGGAAAAATCTTCAATTTTATTATTATTTTTCTTTTACCTGCTGGTTTTCTTAGAATGGCTAATTCTAGAATATTTTGAAATCAATTAATATTAATTTTTTCTCAGTAAACAAATTTTAAATATAGCCAGTAACAGGATGAACTCCATGGCCTAACCAGCTCAGCATAAACACTGAGTCTGCCCCATAGTTGTTATATGACCTTGGCCAAATTATTTAATGACTCTGTGTTTCAGTTTCTTAATCTAGGAAACAGGAATAGTATTATTACTTACTTCATAGGATTAGTATAACGATTAAATATATTAGTATATAAGTAGCTTAGATCAACCTCCAGCCTATAATGAGCATGATACGTGTTAAAAATTTTGTATTTGTAATTGTATGACTAAGTAAGTTACTCAATCTCATAACAATATAATTTCTTTGTTTGTTAAAATGGGGTAAATAATAGCAGTTATCTTACAAAATTTTCTTCAATGAAATACTGTGTTAAGTAGTTATCACATAAATGATGAATTAAATCTATTTTGATATTATAATTTTATTCTTTTTTTTTTTTTTTTTTTTTGAGACACATCTCACTCTGTCACCCAGGCTGGAGGGCAGTGGCACAATCATGGCTCACTGCATCCTCAACCTCCCGAGCTCAAAGGATCCTCTTGCTTCAGCCTCCCAAGTGGCTGGAACTATAGGTGCATGCTACAATACTGGGATGATATTTTTTGTTTGTTTTTAATGTTGTAGAGATGGGTTCTCACTATGTTACTAAGGCTGGTCTTGAACTCCTGAGCTCAAGTGATCCTCCTGCCTCAGCCTCACACATTGTTGGGATTACAGGCATAAGCCATCATGCCCAGCCCAGTGTTTTTATTCTTTTTTTTTTTTTTTTTGATTTTACTTTAAGTTCTGGGATACACGTGCTGAACGTGCAGGTTTGTTACATAGGTATACATGTGCCATGGTGGTTTGCTGCACCTATCAACTTGTTATGTAGTTTTAAGCCCCACATGTATTAGGTATTTGTCCTAATGGCGTCCCTCCCTTTGCCCACCAATTCCCCGATAGGCCCCGGTGTGGATGTCCCCCTTCCTGTGTCCATGTGTTCTCATTGTTCAACTCCCACTGATGAGTGAGAACATGCAGTATTTGGTTTTCACAATGCAGTATTGTGTTAGTTTGCTGAAAATGATGGTTTCCAGCTTTATCCATGTCCCTGCAAAGGACATGAACTCATTCTTTTTAATAGCTGTATAGTATTCCATGGCATATATGTGCACATTTTCTTTATCCAGTCTATCACTGATGGGCATTTGGGTTGGTTCCAAGTCTTTGCTATTGTAAATAGTGCTGCAATGAACATATATGTGCATGTGTCTTTATAGTAGAATGATTTATAATCTTTTGGGTATATACCCAGTAATAGGATTACTGGGTCAAATGGTATTTCTGGTTCTAGATCTTTGAGGAATCGCCACACTGTCTTCCAAAATGGTTGAACTAATTTACACTGTCACCAACAGTGTAAAAGCATTCCTATTTCTCCACATCCTCACCAGCATCTGTTGTTTCCAGACTTTTTAATAATCACCATTCTAACTGGCATGAGTAGGTATCTCATTGTGGTTTTGATTTGCATTTCTCTAATAATCAGTGATGATGAGGTTTTTTTCATGTTTGTTGGCCACATAAATGTCTTCTTTTGAGAAGTGTCTGTTCATATCCTTTGCCCACTTTTTGATAGGGTTGCTTTTTTCTTGTAAATTTGTTTAAGTTCCTTGTAGATTCTGGATATTAGACCTCTGTCAGATGGATAGAGTGCAAAAATTTTCTCTCATTCTGTACACTGCCTATTCACTCTGATGATAGCTTATTTTGCTGAGCAGAAGCTCTTTAGTTTAATTAGAATCCATTTGTCAATTTCAGGTTTGTTGCCATTGCTTTTGGTGTTTTATTCATGAAATCTTTGCCCATGTCTGTGTCCTGAATGTTATTACCTAGGTTTTCTTCTAGGGTTTTTATGGTTTTAAGTCTTACGTTTAAGTCTTTAACCCATCTTGAGTTAATTTTTGTATAAGGTGTAAGGAACAGTTCCAGTTTCTGTTTTCCACATATGGCTAGCCAGTTTTCCAGCACGATTTATTGAAAAGGGAATCCTTTCCCATTGCTTGTTTTTGTCAGGTTTGTCAAAGATCAGATGGTTGTAGATGTGTGGTGTTATTTCTGAGTTATCTGTTCTGTTCCATTGGTCTGTATATCTGTTTTGGTACCAGTACTATGCTTTTTTGGTTACTGTAGCCTTTTAGTATAGTTTGAAGTCAGGTGGCCTGATGCCTCCAGCTTTGTTCTTTTTGCTTAGGATTGTCTTAGTTATATGGGCTCTTTTTGGGTTCCATATCAAATTTAAAGTAACTTTTTCTAGTTTTGTGAAGAAAGTCAATGGTAGCTTGTAGGAATATTTCATCCAATTTTCCAAAGCTTACATGAAATAATTTTTTGAAAGAGTGCATGAGTAATCTAGGAGTAGAATTTCCCTGGGCTGACTTAACAGAGACAGCCAAGAGTAATAGGAAAGGATCTCCGAAACAAGCTCTATACTACCTTTCTCTTTTTGAATGTTCCAGTTGGATTTGTGTGTTGGTAAAGTGGCTAAATGAACAATTATGCCTGAGAAATATTCACAGTTGGTGATTTTACGTGGCACAGGGAATATCTTCCTAAGGGACAACATGTTTGCTTTGTAATAGTGAAGATGAAATGTGCTTGAGACTGAGATAGGGAGAGGAGTCACAGCTAAATCCCAGAAATTAGCTAATAACTTTGAGAGCAAGAGATTTAAAGATTATTGACTGCTACATTTTTACAACCATTGATCTATGTAACTCAACATTATCATGGTAAAAATCCTCTGGAAATTAAGGCATTGCACATTAACCCCTGTTGCTAAGGTTTGAAAGTAGTATACATTAAAGCTAAAGAGGTATTCTCCCTTGATCTGCGTAGGTTGGCTTTCAAACTATTGGTCTCTGCCATCAAGAAACATTTGCGCATCAAACCAATAAATAGAAGGACTTTTTCTTAGAACTTTGGGACTGGGTTGGTCTAACCTCTTTTCTCTTTCATTCATGTTATTTAAAAATTACCACAACAAATTCCTTTCTGCTGCTATATTACCTGTACTCTCATTCCTATATTTGTCAACTCCACTAGCTGAATAACTATTTACTGGCTAATTCTTCTGTTCTCTGTTAGAGACTCCATTCAGTTGTGAACAACTTCTCCTTCTTCCTGTCATCCCTTCCAATCTTATGACTTCCTTGCTGACCTCTGGCTGGATAACATCAAAACTTTCATCTCCATGTTACCTTCAGGCCTAGAAGTGAATTTCAAATTGCCTGCAGAGTCATGAAAGATTTACAGTGAAGCTAAGGAAGCTTGAGTTTGAGAGCTCCTCATTTGAATTGGTATCTTCCAAGGGCTCTAGAAATATGTTCATACAGTTTTGTAAAATATGTAATATTTTAGTATTTGATTACAATAAATTATGACCACTTTTAATTAAGATTCACTTTTGTGGTATAATTTTATCTTTGTATTTTTTTTTTACTTAAGGAGGACCTCTAAAATTGTATAAATGTCAGATGCCACAGAACCAGTATCTGCCTTGTGAATTCACAAATAAAAAATGTCTTATTTAAAAATTAATGGGAATAATTGTTTGTTCTAAGAAATTTTCTATTTGTCACCTAGGCCATTCTGATACACCTCAGAGTGTGTGCTAAAATACTATAAATCAATTTCAGAAATCACCTTAGTAAATCATGCTTAATAAGGTGGAAAAAGAAGTAATCTATTGCACTGAAAAAATATGATGTATTTTGAATTAACTATGGATCCGTATTATCTCATTCTTTGTTCCCCTTTATTGACATAGATAATGAAATTTTGGCAATATATTTAATTCTGTTCTTTTTGGGCAGAGGTAAGTGTATCTTTATCAGGTTGCAAGGATTTACCCATACAGTGAAAACTTTTTAACACTGAGGTAGAAATTATGGGCTGATATCTGACACAGATTGACAAAAATTAAGCAAAGTTTTCCCCTCTGAGCTTTGACTTTTTTTTTTTTTTTTTTGAGATAGAGTCTCGCTCTGTGCCCAGGCTGGAGTGCAGTGGCGCCATCTCGGCTCACTGCAAGCTCCGCCTCCCAGGTTCACGCCATTCTCCTGCTTCAGCCTCCCAAGTACCTGGGACTACAGGCGCCTGCCACCACGTCCGGCTAATTTTTTGTGTGTGTGTGTGTATTTTTAGAACAGATGGGGTTTCACCGTGTTAGCCAGGATGGTCTTGATCTCCTGACCTTGCGATCCGCCCGCCTCGGCCTCCCAAAGTGCTGGGATTACAGGCGTGAGCCACCGTGCCCGGCCGCTTTGACTTTTTTGGGACGGATGGGGAGATGTTGAGTGTTGAGTATCATTTGATCCATAGCAAAGGCTTTCATCTAACAATGCTATTTGATTGCTTAAACAACAAATATCCATTTCTCACAGTTCTAGAGGCTAAAAGTCCTAGATTATAATGCCAGCATGGTGAAGTTAATGGTGAAGGCCTTCTTCCTGGTTTGCAGGTGGCCATCTTCTCATGGTATTCTTCTAGTTGTGTTCTCAAATGGTGGAGAGTAGAGAGAGGAAGCAGGCTCTGTTGTGTTTCTTCTCATAAGGATGATAGTTCCTTAAAAGCACTTTACTTTTTTTCATTACAAAGTGAAGAGAGTTATGCATTTTACATTTGAACACTTCACTGATAGCCTATGTCAGGGTGTATCATAATAAAGTAAATAAAGAACTATGAGATAAATGCTTGAATAATTTATCCATTATTTCATATTTAAAATATGGGTCTCCATAAAGAGTATATATATAGTAAGTTTCATGTCACAATTATTTTTAAATAAGCCTGCATAATGAGTATCTGTTTATTAGAAATACTATAAATGTTTCTAATTGATTATTATATCTAAAACAATACACGTAGAAAAAAATTGTTTGACATTAGGATGGTGCTAAAAGGAGACATAGTTTAATGAAAAACTCTTACTGTGTAGTAACATTTAATATGTATATATAGATTATTTAAAATAATTTATTTTCTATATCCTATATTTCAAGATATTTTATATTTATATTTTATATAAATATCCCTTGAGACATGTTAGTTTATATACTCTGTCTCGATACTTGCCTGATTTTAACTCTCCAAAATGATTACCCCATTTTAAAACCTAATAGTGCCTTTTCATTTAAAAAATGAATGCCAAATATTTTTATATTACCACTTAAGATTTTAGTACTTTTTTCTAAGCATTTAACAATGATAACTAGGAAAATATAGTGCCAATAGTATGTAAATGGTGGAGTTTATTTAGTGTAAATTGATATTGATTATTGGCAAAAGGGTGAAAATCAAAACTTGAGAGAAAGTACAGCTAAAATTAGTCAGAACTTTATGTGATTCATAAAAGTTAAAGTATTATTATCATATTCTTATTTGTCACCATGACAATATGGTTTGAAATAATTTTTCATTTACACCTCCCTCTTTATTTCTGGATTGGTACCAAAAGCTATGCAGGAAAAGTCTCCGAAATTTTATGAGACTCTCTTAACTTCTAATTTATTCAGTTTATTTTAGCCAATCCAATCCAGTCCCATTTAGCACAATAGTATATATTCTAAAAGACTTGGTATAACTTACAAATGAGCACCTTAAGTTTTCTTTTAGCTTTCTATAAACTTCAGGGTCTTCTGAAGCAGAAGCAGGTATAAGTTTACATTGTGTTAAGAAGCTGAAAATAAAATAAATATACACTTACTTTTAAATTGTGAATCTGTGCAATCAATGTAGTAAATTTTTTGTTTCAAAATTTATCTCCTTAACACATCTTGTTCATTTATCTTATCTGACAATGTTGATTTTGATAAAAAACTGATTATGTTTATAAAAAGATAAATTATTTTTTAAAAACCAACACTTCCAAAATTTTGGACCTGAAATGCTACTTGCAGGTCACCTGAAAAAATGTCTGATCAGAACTTAACCTCAGAGTGACTTTCAAAGTGAAATACTCAGAAGCTGCATGATGGAGTGGAATATAAACAAGCTAGAAATGTAGACACTTGGCTCAAGTAGGAACTCTATTAGGCAATTTCTTGAAAAGTTACTCTACCATCTGGATTGCTCTAGCCAGCTTTAATCATTCCTAAGATTACGTAAGTACAAATAAACATTACTTTGTAAATTAGGTAAATTTATTTTAATTGCATATTGGTAAACTAATGTTGAATGTAATACCTCAGGTAAATCCTATTATAATTTTTAAAAGAATATTATACATGAATAGATGTTTTCTAGTTTGTTTCTTAACATCTGTATTGATATGCACTTGATTTCCTTAAAAAGGGTTACACAGACTAATAATTTTGTCTGATTTCACTATATTTCTTTGGTTTTCTCTTACACGATCATAATTTTATATTGCAAAGGTCACCCATATCATGAGTTCTTAAAGAAAAAATATATATTGTCAAAAAATATATTTACAGGTGCTAGGTTGGGAGATTTGAAAACATATTTAAGGCCAAGCACAGTGGCTCATGCCTGTAATCCCAGCACTTTGGGAGGCTGAGGCAGGAGAATAGCTTGAACCCAGGAGGTGAAGGTTGCAGTGAGCCAAGGTCATGAGATTGCGTGATGGCACTCCAGCCTGGGCGACAGAATGAGACTTTGTCTCAGAAACAGAAAAAAAAAAAAATGTTTAAAACCCAAAGAAGGTTAAAAAAAAAAATCAGAGTAATTCAATTTTGACATTGTAACTTTAACATAATAATATACTGCCCATTTATTTTAATGAAAAAGATTGCTAATATATACTTCTTTATAAGATTGTTTCTGAAAGAAAATCTTAGGGTTTTACTTTAGTAGAGAAGCATCCCTATTATTTTTGATGCTTTCAAAGCACCATGATGTGATGTTTAGAGCCTACGTGCATTTACCTATGTTGATTCCTCTTCCAAAAATGTTTATTCCACATCAACTCTGCATTTTTAAATCCAATAAATATTTCAACAACCAACTCAGGTAGACTCTCCTGCCTGCCTGAAGGGTTTTGTAGAACGGTTAATTAAAATCAATTAATTCAATTCATAGCAATTAATATCGAAATTTTAACTTTTGGTCTCATTTTCTTCTCATAGTTATTCAGTTTTATCTGTCTCAGACATTATGGTGACTTGAGGGCAAAGATTTGATGAACAGGTATACTAACATGAGATTGTGTTAGGGTGTGCAGTTGTGATTATATCTGATCAGTTTTTTTCTTTTTTACTTTTCTTGGGAGATGCAGGAGAATTCATAGTATGGCTTCAGAGTTTGGTGGTCAGCCAATGACGCAGGTGGATGTTGTGTTTACGTACCTTAAGTCTATAATGCTTCTAACTTTAGCAAACCAAGGTGTGTGGCTTAAGAAACTTCTTCAAAGTCAAAGCCGGTTCTCGAATTTTCCTTGGCTTCTATTTTTTGCAGAGACCTCCTAGATTTCTCCATATGTGCACAATTGAGAAATCAGCTATAAATATTTACAGCTTTTTATATCAGTATTTCTATTTTTTATCTCACTTACAGATCTTCCTGTCAAATCCTAGCTGTTCTTTCTCTCAACCCACACTTGGCCTGTAACCTCAGGATTGAAAAACTAAGTTTTTTTCCAGTAGTTACAAAGCTAGTCTTACATTTAACTGGAAAAGCCATGGGTTTTTGCTACATCCTACTACCCCGAAGCTTTCTATTGTGTCTTTCATCTCTTATTTCAAAGTCACTAGGTTTAGTCGTCAACCACAAACAGTGAAAGCTATAGTTTTCTCTAATTAAGCTGGTGAGTAGGATGGCAATAGCCTCAAACAAGAAGGCTGTAGATTTGCCACCATTCTAACCTAATAATATTGGAGTTTTGAAAAATTGTTTCTCAATTTGTTGTTTGCATTTGATTGTTTTCTGGTATTCTAAATTATGATATTTTGATTTTTTCAGTTTTGTATTTGTTTTCTGCTGAAGGGATCACTCAACCACCTCATATTGTAATTATCAGAATGTCTGATAAAGTTTGTTTTTTAAGGAATTCTTACTAAAACCCAATAAAATGTGGAAAAAAAGTGTAAAGATGCAGAGGATATCATTCCTTAGGCAGGTACTACTGCATCAAGTAGAAATTATAAACAAAATAATACCTAATAACATTTAGGCATCATTGAATATCCACATAGCTGAGTTTTGTAAGCATACATGAGCGTGTGTAGCATTTTAGCAGACTAAATAATGCAAAGGTATGTTACTTGATGTAAAATAGTTACATGTATTACAAAATAATGTTGACGTATTTCTCCAGAACAAGGAATAACATTCATCTGACCTCAAATCAGAGGAAAACTGAAAGTGGAAATTATGTGTTGAAAACAAAACAATTGTCATCTTCTGAACAAAGAACCCCCCCAAAAAAGTCATTTTTCTGTCATTTCTTAAAAAGCATCAAGTTAAGTCAAGTGCTGCATTAACTGGAGTATACTGTAAGATTTATGACCCAATTTCTTTTACAAAAAAAAAAAAATACAGTGTTGAATAGTTTCAAAAGTACCTTGCACTTAATGAGTTAAAGATATTGGACAGCCTTTTTAACTTTCAAAAACCAGAACATCTCTTTCTCTCCAAAGGATCACAACTCCTCACCAGCAAGGGAACAAAACTGGATGGAGAATGAGTTTGACAAATTGATAGAAGTAGGCTTCAGAAGGTGGGTAATAACAAACTCTTCCAAGCTAAAGGAACATGTTCTAACCCAATGCAAGGAAGCTAAGAACCTTAAAAAGGTTAGACAAATAGCTAACTAGACTAACCATCTTAGAGAAAAACATAAATGACTAGATGGAGCTGAAAAACAGAGCACGAGAACTTCGTGAAGCATAAACAAGTATCAGTAGCTGAATCGATCAAGTGGAAGAAAGGATATCAGAGATTGCAGATCACCTTAATGAAATAAAGTGTTACGACAAGATTAGAGAAAAAAGAATGAAAAGGAACGAACAAAGACTCCAAGAAATATGGGACTGTGTGAAAAGACCAAACCTACATTTGATTGGTGTACCTGAAAGTGATGGGGAGAATGGAACCAAGTTGGAAAACACCCTTCAGCCAAATTGGAAAATACCCTTCAGGATATTATCCAGGAGAACTTCCCCAACTTAGAAAGACAGGCCAACATTCAAATTCAAGAAAAACAGAGAACACCGCAAAGATACTCCTTGAGAAGGGCAACCTCAAGACACACAATCATCAGATTCACCAAGGTGGAAATGAGGAAAAAATGTTAAGAGCAGCCAGAGAGAAAAGTCGGATTACCCACAAAGGGAAGCCCATCAGACTAACAGCAGATCTCTCTGCAGGAATCCTACAAGCCAGAAGAGAGTGGGGACCAATATCTAACATTCTTAAAGAGAAGAATTTTCAACCCAGAATTTCATATCCAGCCAAACTAAACTTCATAAGTGAAGGAGAAATAAAATCCTTTACAGACAAGCAAATGCTGAGAGATTTTGTCACCACCAGGCCTGCCTTACGAGAGCTCCTGAAGGAAGATCTAAACATGGAAAGGAACAAACTGTACCAGCAACTGAAAAACATACCAAATTGTAAAGACCATAGACACTATGAAGAAACTGTATCAGCTAATGGGCAAAATAACCAGCTAGCATTGTAATGACAGGATCAAATTCACACACAACAATATTAACCTTAAATGTAAATGGGCTAAATGCCCCAATTAAAAGACACAGACTGGCAAATTGGAAAACAGTCAAAACTCATTGGTGTGCTGTATTCAGGAGACCCATCTCACATCCAGAGATACACATAGGCTCAAAATAAAGGGATGGAGGAAGATCTACCAAGCAAATAGAAAGCAAAAAAAAAGCAGGGGTTGTAATCCTAGTCTCTGATAAAACAGACTTTAAACCAAAAAAGATCAAAAGAAACAAAGAAGGGCACTATATAAATGGTAAAGGGATCAATGCAACAAGAAGAGCTAACTATCCTAAATATGTATGAACCCAATATAGGAGCACCCAGATTCATAAAGCAAGTTCTTAGAGACCTAAAAAAGACTTAGACTCCCACACAGTAATAGTGGGAGACTTGAACACCCTACTGTCAATATTAGATCAATGAGACAGTGTGGGGGAAAGAAAGAGATCAGACTGTTACTGTGTCTAGGTAGAAAGAAGAAGACATAAGAAACTCCATTTTGTTCTGTACTAAGAAAAATTCTTCTGCCTTCAGATGCTGTTAATCTGCAACCCTAGCCCCAACCCTGTACTCGCAGAAACATATGCTGTGTTGACTCAAGGTTTAATGGATTTAGGGTTGTGCAGGATGTGCTTTGTTAAAAATGTGTTTGCAGGCAGTATGCTTGGTGAAAATCATCACCATTCTCCAGTCTCGAGTACCCAGGGACACAATGCACTGCGGAAGGCCTTAGGGATCTCTGCCCAAGTAAGCCTGGATATTGTCCGAGGTTTCTCCCCACTGAGACAGCCTGAGATATGGCCTCATGGGAAGGAAAAGACCTGACTGTCCCCCAGCCCGACACCCGTAAAAGGTCTGTGCTGAGGAGGATTAGTGAAAGAGGAAGGCCTCTTTGCAGTTGAGATAAGAGGAAGGCATCTGTCTTCTGCTCGTCCCTGGGAATGGAACGTCTCAGTGTGAAACCCGATCATATATTCTATTTACTGAGATAGGAGAAAACCGCCTTATGGCTGGAGGTGAGACATGCTGGCGGCAATACTGCTCTTTACTGCACTGAGATGCCTGTGTAAAGTCAAACATAAATCTGGCCTATGTGCACATCAAGGCACAGAACCTTTCCTTAAACTTATTTATGACACAGAGACCTTTGCTCACATGTTTTCCTGCTGCCCCTCTCCCCACCATTACCCTAGAGTCCTGCCACATCCCCCTCACCGAGACAGTAGAGACAGTGATCAATAAATACTGAGGGAACTCAGAGACCTTTGCCAGTGCAGGTCCTCCGTATGCTGAGCACTGGTTCCCTGGGCCCACTGTTCTTTCTCTATACTTTGTCTCTGTGTCTTATTTCTTCTCTCAGTCTCTTGTCCCACCTGATGAGAAATACCCACAGGTGTGGAGGGGCTGGACCCTTTCAGACAGAAAATTAACAAGAATATTCAGGACTTGAACTCAACTCTGGACCAAGCAGGCCTAATAGACATCTACAGAACTCTCCACCCAAATCAACAGAATATACATTCTTCTCAGCACCACATCACACTTGTTTGAAATTGACCACATAATTGAAAGTAAAACACTCCTCAGCAAATATGAAAGAACGGAAATCATAACTAACAGTCTCTCAGACCACAGTGCAATCAAATTAGAATTTAGGATTAAGAAACTGACTCAAAACCGCACAACTACATGGAAATTGAACAACCTGCTCCTGAATGACTGCTGGGTAAATAACAAAATTAAGGCAGAAATAAATAAGTTCCCTGAAAACAGTGAGAATAAAGACACAATGTAACAGAATCTGTCGGACATAGCTAAAGCAGTGTTTAGAGGGAAATTTATACCACGAAATAGCCACAAGAGAAAGCAGGAAAGATCTAAAATTGACACCCTAACATCACAATGAAAAGAAATAAAGAGGCAAGAGCAAACAAATTCAAAAGCTAGCAGAAGACAAGAAATAACTAAGATCAGAGCAGAACTGAAAGAGATAGAGACATGAAAACCCCTTCGAAAAATCAAGGAATCCAGGAGCTGGTTTTTTTAAAGGATTAACAAAATGCATAGATCGTTAGACAGACTAATAAAGAAGAAAAGAGAGAAGAATCAAATAGACACAATAAAAAATGATAAAGGGGAGATCACCACTGATCCCACAGAAATACAAACTACCATCAGAGAGTACTAAAAACACCTCTATGCAAATAAACTAGAAAATCTAGAAGAAAAGAATAAATTTCTGAACACTTACACCCTCCCAAGTCTAAACCTCCCAAGTCGAATCCCTGAAAAGACCAATAACAAATTCTGAAATTGAGGCAGTAATTAATAGCCTACTAACCAAAAAAAGCCCGGGACCAGAAGGATTCACAGCCGAATTCTACCAGAGGTACACATTCTGAAACTATTTCAAACAATAGAAAAAGAGGAAAACCCTCTCTAACTCATATTATGAGGCCAGCATCATCATGATACCAAAGCCTGACAGAGACACAACAAAAAAAGAAAATTTCAGGCCAATATCTCTGATGAACATCGATGTGAAAATCCTCAGTAAAATATTGGCAAACCGAATCCAGCAGCACATCAAAAAGCTTATCCACCATGATCCAGTCGGCTTCATCCCTGGGATGCAAGCCTGGTTCAACATATGCAAATCAATAAACGTAATCCATCACATAAACAGAACCAATGACGAAACCCACATGATTATCTCGGTAGAGGCAGAAAAGGCCTTCGACAAAATTCAACACTCCTTATGCTAAAAACTCTCAATAACCTTGATATTAATGGAACATATCTCAAAATAATAAGAGCTATTTATGACAAACCCATAGCCAATATCATATTGAATGGGCAAAAACTGGCAGCATTCCCTTTGAAAACCAGCACAAGACAAGGATGCCCTGTCTCACCACTCCTATTCAACATAGTTATGGAAGTTCTGGCCAGGGCAATCAGGCAAGAGAAAGAAATAAAGAGTATCCAAATAGGAAGAGAGGAAGTCAAACTTTTTCTCTTTGCAGATGACATGATTGTATATTTAGAAAACTCCATCATCTCAGCCCCAAATCTCCTTAAGCTGATAAGCAACTTCAGCAAAGTCTCAGGACACAAAATCAATGTCCAAAAATCACAGGCATTCCTATACACCAATAATAGACAGAGAGCCAAATCGTGAGTGAACTCCCATTCACAATTGCTACAAAGAGAATAAAATACCTAGGAATCCAACTTACAAGGGATGTGAAGGACCTCTTCAAGGAGAACTACAAACCACTGCTCAAGGAAATAAGAGAGGACACAAACAAATAGAAAAACATTTCATGCTCATGGATAGGAAGAATCAATATCATGAAAATGGCCATACTGCCCAAAGTAATTTATACATTCAATGCTATCCCCATCAAGCTACCATTGACTTTCTTCACAGAATCAGAAGAATCTACTTTAAATTTCACATGGAACCAAAAAAGAGCTCACATAGCCAAGACAATTCTAAGCAAAAAGAACAAAGCTGGAGGCATCATGCTACCTGACTTCAAAGGCTACAGTAACCAAAAAAGCATGGTACTGCTACCAAACAGATATATATACCAATGGAAGAGAACAGAGACCTCAGAAATAACACCACACATCTACAACCATCTGATCTTTGACAAACCTGACAAAAACAAGCAATGGGGAAAGGATTCCCTATTTAATAAATGGTGCTGGGAAAACTGGCTAGCCATATGCAGAAAACTAAAACTGGACCCCTTCCTTATAACTTATCCAAAAATTAATTTAAGATGGATTAAACACCTAAATGTAAGACCTAAAACCACACAAACCCTAGAAGGAAACCTAGGCAATACCATTCAGGACACAGGCATAGGCAAAGTCTTTATTACTAAAACATCAAAACCAATGGCAACAAAAGCCAATATTGACAAATGAGATCTATTTAAACTGTGCTTCTGTTTAATTAGAAACCATCTTCAAAAGAAACCATCTTCAAGAAGAACAGCACAGCAAAAGAAACCAACTTCAGAGTGAACAGGCAACCTACAGAATGGGAGTAAATTTTTGTACTCTATCCATCCGACAAAGGGCTAATATCCAGAAACTAGAAGGAACTTAAACAAATTTACAAGAAAAAAAATAACCCCATCAAAAAGTGGGCAAAGGATATGAACAGTCATTTCTCAATAGATGACAGTTATGCAGCCAACAAATATATGAAAAAAAGCTCATCATCACTGGTCGTTAGAGAGATGCAAATCAAAACCACAATGAGATACCATATCACGCCACCAATTAGAATGGAGATCATTAAAAAGTCAGGAATCAACAGATGCTGGAGAGTATGTGAAGAAATAGGAACACTTTTACACTCTTGATGGGAGTGTAAATTTGTTTAACCATTGTGCAAGACAATGTGGTGACTCCTCAAGGATCTAGAACCAGAAATACCCAGCAATCCCATTACTGGGTATATACCCAAAGGATTAGAAATCATTCTACTATAAAGACACATGCACATGCATGTTTATTGCAGCACTGTTCACAATAGCAAAGAATGGGAACCAACCCAAATACCCATCTATGATAGACTGGATTAAGAAAATGTGGCACATATACACCATGGAATATTATGCAGCCATAAAAAAGAATGAGTTCATGTCCTTTGCAGGGACATGGATGAAGCTGGAAACCATCATTCTCAGCAAACTAACACAAGAACAGGAAATCATACACTGCATGTTTTCACTCATAAGTGGGAGTTGAACAATGAGAACACATGGACACAGGGAGGGGAACATCACACACCGGGGCCTGTTGCAGGGTGAAGGGCTAGGGGAGGGATAGCATTAGGAGAAATACCTAATGTAGATGACGGGTTGATGGGTGCAGCAAACCACCATGGCACATGTATACCTATGTAACAAATCTGCTTGTTCTGCACATGTATCCCAGAACTTAATGTATAATAAAAAAAAAATTCAAAACAAAGACATTGAACATACTATGTCATGACATAAACGGTCTTATTTGAATAGGATATACAAAATTTTATCTAGGTATTCATAATGTTGTGATTTAGTGTCTCTATGGTACCAACATGATCCTTAGATCCAAATAGGTACTATTTGGATACTCTTTCTCTCATTTCAAACACTGTATCTCAAAACCTGAAGCTCCATTGTATGGGGAAAGATATGAATACATTATTATTTTCTTTTTTTTAACCTAGAAAGACATGAGTTGTCATTTGAAAAACTAATAGAACATATTTAACATTATTATTTATATCTCATTCCTTCTATGACTCAAAACATCATAACCCATCAGTTTCTTCAAGCTGGTGTCTAAGAGTGTAAATTAGTTTTATCCTGTACTCTCTCTATACTGGTCCAGGCTACAGATATCTATTTGTTACACAAGTATGAACTTAGCAATTAGATATTTGCAATTAGCCTTTATTTAAAAGCCTAACTGCAATACTGATTTTAGTTTTTTGTGTTTACATTTTGAGACCTCAACAACTTATTTAAATATCCAGTTCTCAATATCAAGAAATATGGGCTTAATAATATTTACCTAACATTTTTTTTAAAAAAATAGAAGTAAAACATTTTTTAAAATTGTCAGTGTATAAGAAATTATTAAAATTAGCTGGGCATGGTGGCATGCGCCTGTAATCCCAGCTACTCAGGAGGCTGAGACAGGGGAATTGCTTGAACCTGGGAGGTGGAAGTTGCAGTGAGCCGAGATCGGGCCACTGCACTCCAGCCTGGGCATCAGAGGAGATGCCTTCTCAAAAAAAATGAAATAAAATAAAATAAGAGATTATTAAATTCTTCCTTGTTATTTTGTTGAGAAAATTTTAAAGTTAAATCCATGCAGTTAAGCCTAGAGAACAAATCAAATTCATCATTTAATATAAGTTGGCATTTTTTATCTGACTAAAATGGAAGAAGGGGATTAAAAAACTTTCTCTCATTTCAAACACTGTATCTCAAAACCTGAAGCTCCACTGTATGGGGAAAGATATGAATACATTATTATTTTCTTTTTTTTAACCTAGAAAGACATGAGTTGTCATTTGAAAAACTACTTATTTTTCAAGCACCTGTGGGGGAAAAGAAAAAAGGAAAAAAGTAGCATTAAATCCCTTTTGGACACATGATTACATAAATCTCTAATATCTGATTGTCAGATGGAGGAGAATGAGATAAAGCTCAACAATTTTAAAAGACTAGTTTTATTCCCGTTGGAAACTGTCTGATATAATAAAGCCCTTCAGAGGAAAGGTCTGACTCTGAAAAAGACTTGACCTTGGAAGTAGACTAGATTATTTGTTAAGAACACTCTCACCTAGAATGTATTCTGTTCAGGTATCATTGCTGAACCTCTGTGCTGAGTGAGTGCCCAGTCACACAGGACTTGATTCTCATGAGCCAGGATTCGTATAAAGAAATTGACTTTGATATGAAGTCACCACTTCCAGGAATATCGCTTTCAAGTCTATTCAGGTGGGAGACATAAATTTAAAAATATGTTTGGGAGAAATTTGATCAGTAGAGTAGAAAAAAACATAACATTTGCTTTAACTGTCAAGCAAGGAATTTGGAAAATAGACATGTGCCAGCTGAAAGGGAACTTGAGAAACACCTCATGGGAGATTGACGGGAAATGAAAATAGCTTGAGGAAAATCAGCAGCTTTGACAATATGTGAGTTAATTTGAAATAAATAAACTCTAAAAGTTTAAGATCTTAAGTGGTTCTTTACACTTTAACTTGCTAGAGGGGCAAATAATTTATCAGAATTCTAAGTTTAATTATTTCTTAGTATATCTATCCAAAAGATATTCTGTATAGAGAATTCACAAAAGAGAAAAGTGAGTAGAGTTGACTTATGTTCTTGTAAAGAACACAGGGATAAAAAAAAGTGTATAACTAGAAAGGGAAAGTCACACTGAAAATAAATGTAATTTCATGGTACTTTCTCCCATAATTTAACTTGCAGAAAAATTCATTAAGAGTTTGTGTTTGCATAGCAATGAACATATTTCTAACTATTTTAAAGTGCATTTTGTCAGTTTTTATCAACAATGACAATGATTGGAAAAATCAACTTTTAAAAAATGTGAATCTTGAATATCTTCCCTTTGAATAATGAATCAGAATGGAGAGGATAGATAAGCAAACTTGACATTATCTAACCTCAGAGGTGAATGATATTAGGGAAATATATTTGCTGTATTTCTGTGTACATTTTATATGTGCAGTGGTGATAGCAGTTACTGACAGCTGGCTAGGGTAATGTAACACCTGTTAATAAGCTACAGCACTGGGGAAGGCTCTAGAATAGTTATCAAAAATTATATAAATTGATTTTAATTTAGTTCTCCTTAGTCAAGTTTAGGATCTTCTGTAAATCTGCAGTTGGCTCAGTGACATTTTGAATGGTGAATCTTTGTTTTAGGACAGTAATAAATATTTACACAAGGGAAAAGGAATTTACATTGAGATTTGGCTTTTAGTTTTGCAAGATTTCAACCTTGCAAATTACATGTATTGCAAAATGCACGTCATGCGAAAGCAAAATTGTTGAAGTAAGCATGTCCTGAATTTACTCATTGGCCTGCTATACTTGCATACTTTGACTCCTGTATTTGCAGCCCACAGTTATCAAGGTGCAAAGAGAGGAGCCGAGGCAACTAAAAAGATAGAAATATAATAGAATTAATCACTTTTCCAAATATAGTCAGTCTGGGTCCAAGGAAGTAAGTTTTTTAAGTAGCAAAGGCATTTATGTGATTATAAATCTGGTACTTGTCACAATGTCCCCTTTTCCCACATGTATCTTTCTGTTTGAGCTGAACTCTCTAATTAACCTAATAAGAGGAGCCCCTAGTTTGAAACTCTGTCTCTTCTTTCTGTGAATGTATATGCCACATACTTGAAGATTTGACTAATTTTTCCAAATTGTATTATAAATTTGCCCCTTGAACAGAGTAAATTCTTTTTAATATCTAACAAATTACATTTTTTGTTCTATTATGTGTCTCAAAGAACCATTTTGCTCAAATTTAAAGTGCTAGTATATAAACTGAGCAGTTTTTTATTATCACTTTCATGTTGAAACATACTCTCATAGAGAAGAAAAAAAATAATGAAATATGCCTGAATTCAAGTGGCTAAACTCATATGAAATAAAGAGAGATAATTCAACTAATAATGTAACACATTCTTTCAAAGAATGTGTAAGTTGTTTCTGTGTCTCTTGGTTACTGTGAATAATGCTTCAATGAACAGGAGAGTGCACAAACTCTTTAAAATCCTAACTTCATTCATATATATATATACCCAGAATTGGAAATGATAGATCATATGGTAGTTCTATTTTTAAGTTTTCCAGGAGCTTCTATACTGGTTTCTGTAACAGCTAAACCATTTAACATTTCCACCAACAGTGTACAAGTGTTCCAATTTCTCCACAATTTTATCAACACTTGTTATCTTTGTGTTTTGCTTTGATTTTTTTGGATAATAGTTATTCTAACAGATGTTATGTGATATCTCATTGTGGTTATAATTTGCATTTGCCTGAAGATTAGTGATGTTGAACAACTTTTCTTATACCTGTAGGCCATTCGTATGTCTTATTTGGAGAAATGTCTATCCAAGTCCTTTACCCTTTTAAAAATCAATTTTTTTTTCGTTTTATTTTTGCTATTGAGTTGTGCAAGTCCCTTACATATTTTGGAAATTAGCTGCTTATCAGATACATGGTTTACAAATATTATCTCCCATTTCATAGGTTGCCTTTCATTCTATTGATTGTTTCTTTTGATGTGTAGAAGCTTTTTAGTTTGATGTAGTCTCATTTTTCCTTTTTTGCATTTGTTGCCTGTGCTTTTTGTGTCATATCCATGAAATTACTGCCAATTTTATGAATTGGCAGTTTTATGAAGTTGATGACCAATTTTATGAAGATTGTAACATATTTTCTTTTAGGGGTTATATGATTTCAGGTTTTATCATTAAGTCATTAATCCATTGTGAATTGATGTTTGTGTATGGTATAAGATAAAGGTCCAATTTACTTAAGTTTTTAACACTACGCTCAAGATGTGAAGTATAATAGTGTCTATTACTAGGGTTACTGTTATGATTTAGTGAGAAAATTTATGCAGAATGCTTAGGACAGCACCTATTAAATAATGATGACAGAAAGTGTTAGCCATTATTAATCCCAGTTTACTCTTGCTTGCTAAATCTAAAATTTGAAATGACTTACAGGCTCTGGAAATTATTTGAAATAATAATTTTTAGTTTTCCTTCTTTACACAGCACCTCAACCTCAAAGATCTACCATCCTAAAGTCATAAAATCTTTGCACATGTATTTAACAAACAGTATATCCCTCTCATCTATTTGCAAACTTTGCAAATTTTAAGTATTATGGATGAGAGACATGGCTTACCTTACAGAACATGGAAAAAGACAAAGCTATAAATAGATCATCACTTCTTAGCCAGGACTAAAGCAACTCTTCTCAAATACTTTTTCATCTTCTTCATCTCTGTATAAATACATAGATAGACAGGTAGATAGCTAGGTAAGTAGATTTTTGTTCATGCACACAAGCGCACACACACACCGACTTCTCTATGAGTTTAAATGTATTTGCTATAAGCAAAATGAGCACTTTTGAATGTTTTAGAATGCACTCTGATTCAGAAGTAAGTTAAAATCTTCAGCACTGTGTATTTTGATGGCAGATGTTAGATTGGTATAATAATAAGTTATATTTTAAAATGAAAGCCATAGCAAAAACAGAGAGCATAAACTTTAAGAATAAGAAGAACCAAAGAAATCAAACTACTGAAAATATCATTCAAAATTCAAGTATGTTTAAAATATTTTATTATATGTGTGAAAATGTAAGCACTGACAAGAAGCATTAAGTTGATGAAAGAGTCTCTTAATCTTCCTTGTAAACTTGTCTATCTGGCCAGCACTTCTGTAATTATATCCTAGATCACTCTCAAACTGGCAGGAACTCTTGTTCACTGAAAATCCTACTGACAATCTATTGTTCTCTTTTCTCTGTGGAGCCAACCTCTTGAATTGCATTGCATCTCTGTAAAATACACTTACCTGGGAATTCATACTTATTTATGTGATTGGATCATCTCACTTTTGGTCTTTCATATACTCATCCTCTATATCTGGGTATGTCAAGGCATGGGATGGCATTTTATTTCCTTCACTCCAACTTCTTTTTTTTATTTTACTTTAAATTCTGGGATACATGTGCAGAACGTGCAGGTTTTTTACATAGGTGTACATATGCCATGGTGGTTTGCTGCACCTATTCACCAGTCACCTAGGTTTTAAGCCCTGCATGCATTAGGTATTTGTCCTAATGCTCTCCCTCCCCTTCCAAGACCCCCACCCCTCAATAGGCCCTGGTGTGTGATGTTCCCCTCCCTGTGTCCATGTGTTTTCATTGTTCAACTCCCACTTATGAGTGAGAACATCTAACTTCTAATTAAACGGAAATGAGGTGGGACAGTAGAGTGACTGAAAAAGTACTCCTGGGTACAGAAGGTTATAAAGTGTGTTTAAAAGTACTATAAAAAGCTTACCAGTAAATGGCCGGGCGCAGTGGCTCACGCCCGTAATCCCAGCATTTTGGGAGGCCGAGGCGGGCGGATCACGAGGTCAGGAGATCCAGACCATCCTGGCTAAAAAGGTGAAACCCCGTCTCTACTAAAAATACAAAAAAAAAAAAAAAAAAAAAATCACTTAGACGGCCGCAATGGCGGGCGCCCGTAGTCCCAGCTACTCGGGAGGCTGAGGCAGGAGAATGGCGTGAACCAGGGAGGAGGAGCTTGCAGTGAGCGGAGATCGCGCCGCTGCACTCCAGCCTGGGCAACAGAGCGAGACTCCGTTTCAAAAAAAAAAAAAAAAAAAAAAAAAGCTTACCAGTAAATAAGATGTATTGAAATGGTACAGACTACCACTGTTAGAAAAAAATTAATAATGGAAGATTGTAAAATGACATACTTGATTCTGAGGACATTCTTTTTTCATTTATTTAAGAAATGTTTATTAAGCAACTACTGCAACTACTGGGAAATACACTGGAGTTTCATAAGTAAACAAAAATAAAGTATACACGTAAATAAGCAATCCCTATGCAATGAGGTACTTAATGAAAAAGTGTGATTGCAAGCACCTAAGAAGAACACTCGGTAGCTTTAATTTGAAAAACAGCGTAGATCATTTGTAACAAATGGAGTTAGTACCCTACTTACATCTCTTTAACCTTACCACTTGAATGACTGTTGTCCGACTTGCAACTAATGGTATCTGAATCCTTTGACTAGAAGACTTAGGAGGGGAGGAAAACCATTGTGGCAAGTGCCTATCAAGCCAAAAATACCAGAAAATTAACAACACTCCCTCATTCCTCCAGAAGCAGCCCTCAATCAATGACTAACAGGAGTTAGAGGTTAAAGACCCCAGTTTATTTGTCTCTTTTGTGAAATAACTCTGAGACTTGTATGTTATATAATTTCCCAGAGTTTTCTAAAAGATTTGAACTCCAGTCACCCATAAAAGCTGCTAACTTCTGTTTCCTTCCCTTCTTTGCCTCACCACTTTCCTACAAGTGTTTCTTGGATCTCCCAAATAAGCTATTCTCCCTCCAATCTTCATTTCAAGGTCTGCTTCTGGAGAATGCAAACGAAAACACCATCTAATCTAACAATTTCAAAAGTGGTGGAATGTCTATTATAATAGGAATTACAGCAGTTACATATTTTAAAAAATACTAAATATTTATATGATATAAAACTAGCAAACTCTTCTTCTCTTTGTCTTGTATCCTGAGTCTGCTGATATTTTCTCTTACTACTGTGTGATAATGAAACTCTGAGCCCAGAAGATAGTACCTTTTTGAAAGTTCGAAACAGCAAGACAAAAAGAGTATATCTGGGTCATTTTTAGGAATAACTTAACAGCCAGCTAGATTCTCAAAGTTGTTCCTTACAAAAAAAAAAAAAAAAAAAAAAAAAAAAAAAAAAAAAAAAGGAGGTGTTCTTGACTTGGGGATTTTAAAAATAAGAACTTGAATTTCCTTTCTTTTAGCTAAATCTTCATAGCCCAGTGCTTTTCAGCAATGATTAAGTAACACCAAGATTATCTTGTTATTGTAAATGTTATCACAAAATGTTTCTATGGAAAGGAAAACAAAATATATTCAAGTAAGTCTCTAAATATTTGGATGAAATGAGGACATTTCAATATAAAAAGGGAGAGAAAACTTAGAAGTTTTATGATTCTATCCTTTACTTACTCTGCACACCTCTAGCAAATATTTGAAAAACGCAGATACTTAGATTATGTCCCTTTATAACCTATTCTACTCTCAGAGAAACAATATTGAAATGTCTACCAATTGGTCTCACTCTCCCCCCAATTAACTATATTAAACACTACATCTCCTTTTCTGGCATTGCAACTGAATACTCTGAAGAAAGTCACTTAAATTCTATCCAAGGATTTTTGGTGTGACTAAATATCATAAAAATTTGAAACTAGAAAACAATGAGAATTATAGACATTGATATGAAATGTGTGTGTGTGTGTGTATATATATATATATACATAATATACATATTTTCCAATCTTGTTAAGAAAAAAAAATGATACTCTATCACTAGATGAAAATCTTCCTTCTGCAAGACCCTCAAGCCCTCACTGAGCTAAGGATCATAACATTTGCCAAAATATAACTTTATGATTTTCCCCAAATATACCTGGAATTGCTGAGATGCACATATTAAAATTGTATACACTTAAGAGGCTTTAATACTTCTTTGTGCATATTTATGTTGCATAAAGAAAAATGTAGGGAGAAGAAAAGAATTATATTACAACTGTCAAATGTATACTGCAGTGAAAAAAGAACTTATCTGCAAAGATGTGCTTCATCTCTACAATAAGATCGATATTTTTCTAGATGACTCAAATGGTTTTCTGCAGTTTTAAGAACTTCCTCTTATTAATATAGGGCACATGGATACTGAGCACCCGAATAGTTACAAGAGCAGCAGCAGCAACAGCAACAATAATAAACATAACTACCATTTTTTGAACTCCAAATATGTGCCAGAGAATTTTCTAAGCCCTGTACCTCTATATATCTACTAACACATTTCATCCCCACAACAGAGATAAATACAATTAATATCTGTATTATGCATGAGGAAAGTGAGACACAGAAGAATTCATTAAATTGCCCAAAGACACATAGCTCTAAATGGCAAAGCTAAGATTTGAACGTAGGCAGTATGAATTACGACCATTGTGCTACTCTAAATGCAGTTATATTACAATAATTTCAAGGTTATAAAAATTATAGCAAAAAAATTTTACAATAAGGCATAATATTGAGCAATAGCCTTAACCCATTATCCCTTTTCTCTGGAGTGACTCGATATGAAAATGTGAAAAGAATAATACAAACACTTATAGTTACTTTGGAAGAAAGGAAATTAAGTTTGCTTGGCAGAATGTTACCTTGTCAGCATACTAGAGACAGGACAGAGCCTCCTGAGGACTAGGATGTGGAAAAATATTCCACCTTTGACTTTAAAAGAAGAGGTTTTCAAATAAATGTTTGATCACATAGTAAATGCATGTTTCTCAGATTTGATGTTATTCATTAATGATGAAACAAAGATACTAGTAGAAGAAATGTACGTTTATGAATTATCAGAGGTAAGAAACCTGAGATGACAAATCTGACAGGATTCAAAATATGACAGAAACTAGAAGCATTTCATGAGACGAACAAAAGAGATTTTATTAAAATTAATGAGTCTTATCCCAATGTTGAAAGAACTGAGGTTTTGCCTATTAGAGTTATAGTTAAGTTGATCTATTTTTTCCCTACTCTTGAAGTATTATCAGTTATCATGGCTAAATGTATCCCCCAACACATCCTTACTGACATTTGTGGACCAGCAATGCCACAGCCAATTCATCACTTGACTCTCATATGGTCTAAATGCTGAACCTATGATCAAAAGGGGAAAAAAAAACAAAATATTGACAATATTGATAGTGTTTCTGTCCTAAGTTGTTTTTAAAATAGAAAAATAATATATGTCATAAAAAATATTTTTCCTCTTCAAAATACAGACATATTGAAATAGACTTTCACAGTGGCAAGGATATGAGAATGGGGAACAAATGAAAGGGTAGCACAAAGTACTGTGTTCAGTAGTCAACACTGTTTGTCAATCAATATGGACTTGTTTAATGAATTCTCAAATGTCATCATTAAGAGAAATGAGCATCTGTTATTTCAGTATGTAAAATGAATTAATTCTCTGTCAGTCCAGGAGAGCTCTGACAACTCTCATTTTTAGACCTATCATTATTATGCACACTGATGTCAGAATAAGGTATATTTTCACTTTAAGCAATGCATCTACAGACATATGTAGTAAGTGCCTCTCTCTGGCTGGCATGCACAGTCCATTTTTGCTACAAATTCTTCTTGATTTTTGATACAAGTATTACATTACCTTGGTAAGCAAGCTCATTTAATATGACAAAAAATAAACCCAACAGACTTGGTTGAAATAAGTTACTTCAGAGCAGGAAAAGCAGAGGCACAATGTAACTGAAAGGCTATAGGCTTTGCTGTCAGAGAAACTAGGACTTCTATGTGATATTGAGCTAGTTATTTAACCATGAGATTAAGTTTACTCAACTAGAAAATAGAGGTAATACGTATCTCATAACAGATATTGTGGAGATTCAATGATATTCATATGCCAAAGCTGTATGTGTTGTTAAATTATGTTTAACCTAAAACTGCCTCCTTACATACTTTAAGTTTGACCTAAAGATTTCTCCACACATAGTGAACAGTGACCTCACTGTATGTAAACAGACTGTAATGTACTCTTGTAACAAGTAGCCAAGTCTCAGCCAATCACAGCGGCTGAATTTTGGCCAATCACAGGCAGCCGACTGTTCAAACCATGTTCAAAGAAGGCAAAAGCCCAGCACTAACCAATCCAGATGTTTCTATACCTCATTTCCATTTTCTGTACATCACTTTCATTTTTTTGTCCATAAATGTTATTTGACCATGTGGTAACCCTAGAATCACTCTGAATCTATTCTGGTTCTAGGGGCTGTCCAAATTTCACTTTCTCTTTTTACTCAATTAAACTATGTTAAATTAAATTTGTCCAAAGTTTTTCTTTTAACAATGTTCAACATTTCATGTTAAACAGACTTGGGAATGACAAAATTGATAATGATTGTATAATCAAATTAAAATTTAGAGCTTTTGTATATTGTGAGTGGAATGAAAAGAAATAGGTGTTTTAGCCAGCCCCCAACAAAGCTGTTTCTTAACATTCCTTATAAATTGGTATATAATTTTCAAAATGTAAAAAGGAAACTCAATTAGAAAAAAAAATCTGACCTAATGAAATCTAATTATATCTAAAATTCAACATACTGAAATAATACTTTTTTGTATACCAACTTCAGATGGAAGTTAGAATGGCCTATCTTGTGTTAACCTGCATTGCAGAAAGTCATAGCACATATTCAAGTTCAGGACAGTGCTAGACAACTTTTTCTAAATGAATGGTTATCTTTATCAATGTAATTCACACACATACTTTAAAATAAAATAACAACAATAAAGAAAATTCTACAGAGGAAAAAACTGGCTTTCAATGTCATGTCTCAGCATTACTACCATGCCACCGACTGTCTTGCATTTGATGAGTTCCCAGAATTCCTTAGAGTGACTTTCTCTCATTTCTCTTAACTTGTCCCCTCTCCCCATGTCCCCTCATTCAGCATGTTATTTCCAAGTACTTGGTGGAGTCCTGAATATATTAAATAGCAGTTAATGCAATCTTGCTCTGTGGCTAGAGGTCCTTGGGATTTCAATGCTTGAACCAGGCCCCACTCAACTAAAAGAAGTTAAAAATTTTAACTGATTTCTTGCTACCCCATTCTATGGCAATTTTTCTTCCTTCTGTTGCTTCACCAAGGACACAAGCAATTATGATTTTTTGAAGAGGGTTGCATATTCTGCATTTTAGTTAATTTGGATTTCTTCTCTTTGGCTTTCTGATATATTCAAGAAAACTATGATGTTACATCTTTTATAGCTTTTACTCTGTGTTAGGGTGTAACTGATGGTAACTTGTCATTTTTATGTCTACATCCTAACCATAAAAAGAATACTTATCTTCAGTTTTAAAGATTATTTTCACTGAAAGTAGGATTTAAGGGTAACTGATATTTTATTTCAAAATTCAGCAATGTAATTCCCCATCTTCTTTCATCATTTATTTTGACAAATTATTTGTCATTGTTATTTTTTTCTCCCATGAAAGGAAGTCTCTTTTTTCTCCTGGCTGCCTGCAAAGTTTACTCTTTTTTTGTTTTCTTTTGGCAATATTATTATGGTGTGCCTCAATGTGATTTTTCTTTTCTTTTTTTTTTCATGCAGCACATGATCTACAGTTCTTCATGAATCTCTGAGTTCATGTCTTTCAGCAGTTTTGGACAATTTTTCGACATTTAATATTCTGCCCCATCTGCTCTCTCCCTTTCTCCTAGGAATACCTTTTACTATGAGGAAAAAAGGATATGTATTTTCACTTTTTTCAAAATTCCTCATAATCAATTTTATACATTTGTATTCTTTCTAGATTTTCAGATTTATAACTCATATTAATATGTCTTTTACTATACAAATTCAGTTTCTCTTATATATAGTTTGCTTTTAGTAATTTTAGTAATTATATTTATTATGTTGTTCAGGTCTGAAATTTTCATTTGGTTAATTTTTAGATTCACAGTTTCTAGTGACATTCTCAATTTTTCATCTTTCTCCATAATTTTTCTAGATTTTTAAGTATATTAGTCATAGTTATTTTAAAGAACTGAGTGTGATAACTTTCTTACGAGTATCACTTAGAGTCTATTTATATTGTGATATGGTCATATATTCCTGTCTCTATGCAGTGCTAGTCACCTGTATTAAAATAAAAAAATATAGAATCTTAAAATAATTTCTTCTCTAAGAGAATGTTTCCTCATCCTATCCCCGAGTGAGAGTTTATTTCTTGAATTCAATCTAGAACTAAAATAAATCACATCTTGGTAAGACCTTTAATAAATCTCTATCTTCCTTGTGTTTGCCAACTATTTACTGTAGGGCTTCTCCTTCTACTTCTTATCCCTCTATTTAAAAGTAAATAACAAACAAACAAATTCTTGGATTTGTTTGGGTTATTTCATTGCAGGTGTACAGAACCCAATTCCAATTAACTTGGTAAGAAACATGTAATTTCTTGCAGAATTAAAGAGCAGATAAAGGACCAGGCTTGTAACAAATGATAGGCAACATCTCATGAAATAAGTTAGTGCTGGGTGGATAAATTAATTAACAATCGGATTCAAGTTTCTTGCCATGAGTCCATTAAAATACAATTTCTTATTTTTCTAACTTTTTAATTTTTTATTAGATAGCAATTTCTTGGATTTTTTTTAAAGCCCAATTTTATAAGTTGAGATAATTTACTGACAAGTTCAGGAGAAGAACATGGAACCTCCGAGAACATAAGGGAAGGCAGGTAAATTTGTCTTCTGACTAAAAAATGTTTCTTATAAATGAGTACAAGGTAAAAGCCCAAATATTAGTATTTCCTAGTATTATCTCATGATACAAATGTCATTGTTTACAAAAAACCATTTTACATTCAGGACACAAAAATAGAAAATGAAATATCTGTTATCTGAAGCCAACAGAAACACCCGAATTTATTTCCAGGATGGCTAGTTATTTTTGGTATTTCTAGAAGGCTCACTAAGATCTAAAATTGTATGACTAAGGTATATTTTAAAAGATTTATTTGAAACATAAGATACATTGAATTCAAATGATTCATGGTTTTTTCATGTGATATGTTTGAGTTAATCTAGAAAAATTATAATGTGAATAAATAGTACTGACATTTAGAAATATTAAGAAACATTTACTTTCTGTAGTATGAATCACTGAATGTTACAGCTGAAGGGGACATTAGAGGTCAAATAAACTTAACATATTATTTTATATGAACTATTCTGCATGAAAGTGCTGAGTCAGTAAGAACTGTGTATGGCAATGATTCACTTTTGGTTTTACAGATTCTGAGATTGTTGGGCCTTAGGTCATGGCTCATGATATATTTCTTTAATCAAATAATTCTCATTAGTAAGATAATTTTTAAAAATGTATTTAATAGGCCTATTATATGAATTATCTTTTTTATATGGCTCTAGAGACCCATGGAGAAAGCAGTTGAGCACTATCACTAGGAGTTAGTTGATACTCATGCCAATGCTTTCTAATATAATGACAAAATGCATGTTAAATACTTATAAATAATATAAACTTTTACACAGAAACAGGATACCGTTAAGCATTCTAAATGTTAAAACTGAATAACCTGTATGCTACTGCCACCAAACTTAGCCTTAAGGAACTTCTCTGCTGGCAGAGCTTTAGACTTTATCATTAGAGTAACAGCAATTGCAGCACAAAATATCAGGTTATTCGTTCAAGATCTCACACTATAAGTTAAATGGCAGATCTAGGAAGAGTACTTACTCTCATATCCAAACACTGTGATATTCTGCACAAATTTAATGTAACTTTCATGGGAGGGACAGTTTTTTAACAAGGAATATTTGCATTGTTTTGTATATTAATGGTGTGTTCTAAAGAAGCACTTTATTCCTGTCCTTGAGGAGCTTATAGTCAAGTTGGCAGATAGGATGCAAATTTGAAATGTTTTTAAATTATTCAATGTACATGCATATTAGCATAGTAAAAAGTGATTATGTGAGAATTGGCAAATTATATAGGGTTAATCTAGTACTTTGTGAAGACAAATTTTAAATCAGGTTTTGACAATGATAAAGATGAATGCAGATATTAGGGGAAAAGTCTTTGTTAACACAAAGGGGGGAATGCATAAGTGTTCCTTAGAGCTTAGTAAAATTGTTTCATAGATGAGGATAGACAAGTGGAGAAGTAGTTATTGGGGAACTAGAATGCTACTCAGAAGGCCTTATATTTGTCGAATTAGGAAATATTAAAACAAAACCACTGTAGTTTCCTTAGCAGGAACATCGCACAGTGAAAATAGATCAGGAAAAGAGTATTTCAACTATGAGAAATATCATACTTTAAGAAAAAAACAGAGCATTTGCATAGCAAATAGCAATTTTTAATTCAATATTCTCATTTTTCTTCACAACTACCATTTTTGGCTTTAAGTACTAATTGTTCTCTTGCATTCATATTCTTTTTTTCCCTTTAATAATAGAACCTCTAAGTTTTAGTTACAAGATGATAACTTAGCAAGATATATTTCTTAGTCTTTTTTTAGTGTAGATGTGTCCATGTACTCAATTTGGGCCAATGGTATATGCAAGAATTATATGAGCAAGCTCTGGATCATGAATTTCCTTCTTCACCTTCTTCTGGTCTGGAAGGTGGATATGGATGCAAGTCAGCATTAATGATATGATCAAGAACAGAACACCTGGAGATAAGAGCAAAATGAAAAGAACCTGGATTCCTAAATGTTTTTATGGGTTAGATCATTTTCACCAACCTTGAACAATTCACTTTTATACTGGTTCGTGTAAAACTTCAGCAGTATAGCTTGGACACTAAAACATTAATTCAGAAATTAGTACCTAGTAGTGGGGTTTTGCAGCAATAAAAGTTTAAAATATCTGACATTGTCTTTGTGTTCTGACAGTAGACAGAGAAAGGGTATACCATATGCCGATATGCCAGTGACACTTGTCATGTGGAAAAACACTTGAACTATAAGCAGTGATAACTGGGAGTAATACCAAATGTTTTTGAACTTGTAGCTGTGTGAGAAGAGGCTAGAAAAATAGAGCTCCATTCCTTGCTAATTTTAGCAAAATCCTATAAGAAAGAGATAAGCCCAAGCAAGAATCTGCCAGTTTGCAGGCAAGGTGGAAGCAAGGTTCTCTTTACCTGTGGCCTGTAATTTAAATTACTGAGAATCAGAGACTCCGAGACATGGAAAAGCCAATATTTCTGTATTTTAAACAGCAGAAGATAAGATTGTCACTCAAAGCCTTTCCTGGTCAGACACGGTCAGCCTAGATTTAAAAAAAAAAACAAAAAAACAGATTTAGGGTACTATCCTTCCATTTGAACCTATTGTTTCATTTGGCAACCACTCCCGAATTATGGGAGAAAAGGAGGAGAAACTTAAAGGTGCGGTAATGGCTGCCCAATGTAATTAATTCCCTCACTGAAAACAAAAAAAAAAGTAGATAAAATGGGGAGGAAAGAATGAGCACTGAAGATCTGCAAGAATGTTCCTGGACCAAACTGAGGGTTGGGCTACTATTTTTCGCAGCCCAATAATGAGATGCAGATAAACTGGGGAAGAAGAGAGTTGTTATTTCTGTTACTGGTTACAGAGAGAAGGCCTGGAAATTATTGGCAGGCCAACTCAAAATTACAAAGATTTCCGGAGCTTATATACATTCTAAGCTATATGTCTATGTGTAAGTGTGCATTTATCTAAAGACATAAGTGATTAACTTCTTTTAGTCTATAACTAAGATGTGAGTCCTGAAGACCTTCCTCTGGAGCCTCAGTAAATTTATTTAATCTGAATGGGTCCAGGTGCCAGGATGATTACCCTTATCTTGTCTCCTGCTAAATCATGGAGGTTTGAGGAGTTTCTTTAGGCCCCCAATAAACTTATTTGTGGAGGCCTGGGGAGTTTCTTCAGACCCATAATAAAACTTGTTTAATTCTAAATGGGTCCTGTTAAGAATTCCTTCCTTATTTTGTCATACTTTAAGGCCCAGAAAAGGCCTAGGCAAAACTCTTGATGGGTTTTTGTTACAGGCCAGCCTTTGTATAAGGATACTTGCTTTTAACATTTAACTTAACCACTCAGTACTGAAACAGTTGTTAGTGAGACCTGACCTGCCACAAGGACAATGGGGGTTATCCTAGCTGATTTTTGATTAAAATCCTGTAACCAGAATACAATATCAGAAAACAAAAATAGGTTTTCTGGTTGCTTTTTGGTTCTAAAAACTATGTTTTATTGTTTGAAACTTGTTTTGTCACATGTGCTCTAGAAACCATTTTCATCAGAGCCACTTGAAGGCCTGGGTAAATCAAATCTTGGGTCTCTCCTCCTAATACTTAACAAGTCAGATCACTGCTGGTGGACTGTGAAAACTTTTTTTTTTTAACAAAAACCCCAGTTGATTGTTATGCACACTAAAGCTTTGAAACAACTTTCTTTTTTATTAAAAATAAGAATATTAGATATAAGTCACATGTCTGTTTTTCTTTATATGGCAATAAACACTGTCAATGACAAGCAGATACTAAGCATATTTGATGAGACTGAAAATAGAAATAACAGTTATTTTAAAATATCTATTATTCACACAGGCATATGATTATTAATCTACAGGCTGTCAAATAACTGTATGACTATATCTATTTTCTTTTTTCTAACTTTTAAGTCAGGGTACATGTGCAGGTTTATTATATAGGTATATATAATATGTATATTGTGTATATATAACATATATAACTTATGTATAACAATATATAAACTTGTGTCATGGGGATTTGTTGTAGAGATTATTTTGTCACACAGGTATTAAGTCTAGTACCCATTAGTTATTTTTCCTGATCCTCTATCTCCTCCCATCCTTGGCCTTCCAATAGGCCCCTATATGCAGTGTGTGTTGTTCCCTTCTATATGTCCATACGTTTTCATCATTTAGCTCCCACTTATAAGTGAGAACACCTGGTATTTGGTTTTCTGTCCCTGTGTTAGTTTGCTAAGGATAATGAATGACCTCCAGCTCCATCCATGTTCCTGCAAAGGACATGATTCCTTCATTTTTATGACTGCATAGTATTCCATGGTGTATATATACCACATTTTTATCCAGTCTAATATTGATGGGCATTTAGGTTGATTCCACGTCTTTGTTGTAATGAACTGTGCTACAATGAACACACACCTGCATGTCTCTTTATAATAGAATGATTCATATTCCTTTGGATATATCCCAGTATTGAGATTGCTTGGTTGAATGGTGTATCTCTTTATAGGTCTTTGAGGAATCGCCACACTGTCTTTCACAATGGTTGAACTAATTTACACTCCCACCAATGGTGTATAAACATTCCTTTTGCTCCACAACCTCACCAGCATCTGTTATTTTGTTCTTTTTAATAATAGATATTTTGACTGGTATGAGATGGTATTTCATTGTGGTTTTGATAGATTTCTTTTTTCATATGATTGTTGGCCATGTGCATGCCTTCTTTTGAGAAGTATCTGTTCATGTTCTTTGACCTTTGCCAGATGCATAGTTTGCAAAACTTTTCTCCCATTCTGTAGGTTGTCTGTTTACTTTGTTGACAGTTCCCTTTGCTGTGCAGAATCTCTTTAGTTCGGCTAGATCCCATTTGTTAATTTTTGCTTTTGTTGCAATTGCTTTTGACATCTTCGTCATTAAATTTTTGCCCATTCCTTTGTACTGAACGGTATTGCTTAGGCTGTCTTCTAGGGTTTTCATAATTTGGGGTTTCACATTTAAGTATTTAATCCATCTTAAGTTAATTTTTGTATATGGTATAAGGGAGGGGTTCTAGTTTCAATCTTCTGCATATGGCTAGCCAGTTATCTCAGCTCTATTTATTAAATAGGGAATCCTTTCCCCTTTGCTTGTTTTTGCCAGGTTTTTCAAAGATCAGATAGTTGTAGGTGTGAGGACTTATTTCTGCGTTCTCTATTCTGTTCCATTGGTCTACGTGTATTTTTTTTGTGCCAACTATGTTTGGGCTACTGCAGTCCTATAGTATAGTTTGAAATACAGTGATGCCTCCAGCTTTGTTCTTTCTGTTTAGGATTGCCTTGGCCATTCTGGATCTATTTTGGTTTCATATGAATTTTTGAATAGTTTTTTTCTAGTTCTATGAAGAATATCAATAGGTAGTTTTATAGGAATAGCATTGAATCTATAAATTGCTTTAAGCAGTATGGTTATTTTACAGTATTGATTCTTCCTATCCATTAGCGTGGAATGTTTTTCCATTTGTTTGTGACATCTCTGCTTTCTTTGAGCAGTGTTTTGTAGTTCTCCTTGTAGAGATCTTTCACCTCCCTTGTTAGCTGTATCCTAGGTATTTTATTCTATTTGTGGCAATTGTGAATGAGAGTGCCTTTCTGATCTGACTCTCAACTTGACTGTTTTTGGTGTATAGGAACATTAGTGACTTTTGGACATTGATTTTGTATCCTGAGACTTTGCTGAAGTTATTTATTAGCTTAAAAAGCTTTTGGGCTGAGACAATGGGTCTTTCTAGATATAGGATTATGTCATCTGTAAGCAGGATATTTTGACTTCCTCCCTTCCTATTTAGATGCCTTTCTTTTTCTTGCCTCATTGCCTTGGCCAGGATTTCCAATCATATGTTGAATAGGAGTGATGAGAGAGGGCATTCTTATCTTCTGCTGGTTTTTAAAGGGGAATGCTTCCAGCTCTGGCCCATTCAGTATGATGTTGGCTGTGGGTTCATCATAGATGGCTCTTATTATTTTGAGGTATGTTCCTTCAATACCAAGTTTGATTAAAAATTTTTAGCATGAAGGGATGTTAAATGTTATTAGAAGTCTTTTCTGTACTATTGATATAATCATGTGGTTTTTGTTTTTAGTTCTGTTTATTTGATGAATCACATTTATTAATTTGTTTGTGTATGTTGAACCAAACTTGCATCTCAAGGATAAAGCCTACTTGTTCATGGTAAATAAGCTTTTTGATGTGCTGCTTGATTTGGTTTCCCAGTATTTTGTTGAGAATTTTTGCATTGATGTTTATAAAAAATATTTGTCTGAAGTTTTCTTTTTCTGTTACATCTCTGCCAAGTTTTGATATCAGGATGATGATGGCCTCATAGAATGAGTTAGCAAGTTCCTTCCTTCCCTCAATATTCTGGAGTAGTTCTAGCAGGAATGGTGTCAGCTCTTCTTTGTACAGGTGGTAGAATTTAGCTGTGAATCCATCTGATTTTGAGCCTTTTCTGGTTGGTAGGCTATTTATTCCTGACTTTGTGAGCTCATTATTGGTCTGTTCAGGGATTTAATTTCTTCCTGGTTCAGTCTTGGCAGGGTGTATATATCCAGGAATTTATCCATTTCTTCTCAATTTTTCATTTATGTGCATAGAGGTATTCATAATATTCTCTAATGGTTGTTTGCATTTCTGTGGGGTCAGTGGTAATATCCCCCTATCATTTCTGATTGACTTTATTTGAATCTTCTCCCTTTTCTTCTTTGTTAGTCTAGCTAATTGTCTATTTATTTTATGGACTTTTTCAAAATATCTGCTCCTGGATTTGTTGATCATTTGAATGGTTTTTTATGTCTCTGTATCCTTCAGTTCAGATCTTATTTTGGTTATTTCTCATCTTCTACTAGTTATGAGATTTTATTTTCTCTTGGTTCTGTAGTTCTTTTAGTTGTGATATTAGGTTATTAACTTGAGATCTTTCTAGGTTTTTGATGTGGGAATTTAGTGCTATAAATTTCCCTCTTAATATTGCCTCAGCCATGTCCCAGAGATTCTGGTATGTTGTATCTTTGTTCTCACTAGTTTCAAAGAACTTCTTGATATCTGCCTTAATTTCCTTATTAACCTAAAATTCATTCAGGAACAGGTTATTTAATTTCCATATGATTGTATGGTTTTGAGTGAATTTCTTAATCTTGATAACTAATTTGATTGCACTGTGATCAAAGAGTGTTTATTATGATTTCAGTTATTTTGCATTTGCTGAGGAGTGTTTTACTTTTGATTTTATGATTGATTTTATAGTATCTGCCATGTGGCAATGAGATGAATGTATATTATGTTGTTTTGGGATGGCAACTTGTATAGGTATCTGTCAGGTCTATTTTATCCAGTGCTGACTTCAGTTCCTGAATATCTTTGTTAATTTACTGTCTGGATGATCTCTCTAATATTGTCAGTGGGGTGTTAAAGTCTTTGACTATTATTGTGAGGGAGTCTAAGTCTTTCTGAAGGTCCCTAAGAGCTTTGTGAATCTGTGTTCTCCTGTGTTGGATGCATACAGATTTAATAAAGTTAGATATTCTTGTTGAATTGAACCTTTACTATTATGTAATGCCCTTCTTTGTCTTTTTGATCTTTGTTGGTTTAAAGTCTGTTTTGTCAGTAACTAGGATTGCAATGTCTGCTTTTTTCTATTTTCCATTTGCTTGAGATATTTTTCCCCATCCCCTTATTTTGAGCCTATATGTGTCTTTGCATGTGAGATGGGTCTCTTGAAGACAGCATACCAAAGGGTCTTGGTTGTTTATCCAGCTCACCACTCTTTGTCTTCTAATTGAGGCATTTAGCCCATTTAAATTTAAGGTTAGTATTGATATGTGTAGATTTTATCCTGTCATCATTATGTTAGCTGATTATTTTGCAGACTTGTTTATGTGTTTGCTTCATAGTGTCCCTGGTCTGTATATTTCAGTGTGTTTTTGTAGTGGCTGGTAATGGTCTTTTCTTCCCATATTTAGTGTTTTTTTTAGGACGTCTTGTAAGGCAGGTCTAGTGGCAACAAATTTCCTCAGGATTTGCTTATCTGAAAAGAATCTCATTTTCCTTTCATTGATAAAGCTTAGTTTGCTCAAATATGAGATTCTGGGTTGAAATTTATTTTCTTTAAGAATATCCAATATTGGGCAGGGTACAGTGGCTCATGCCTGTATTCCTAGCACTTTGGGAGGCTGAGGGGGGGTGGATCACTTGAGCTCAGGAGTTTGAGCCCAGCCTGGGAAACATGGCAAAACTCATCTCTACAAAAAATACAAAAGAAAAAAAAATAGCCAGGCATGGTCACACACAAATGTAGTCCCAGCTACTTGAGGGGCTGAGGCAAGAGGATTGCTTGAACTCGAGAGGTAAAAACTACAGTGAGCTAAGATCGTGCCACTGCACTACAGCCTGGGTGACAAAGTGAGATCCTGTTTCAAGGAAAAAAAAAGTTCAATATTGGGCTTCAATCTCTTCTGGTTTGCAGGGTTTCTGCTGAGAGGTCTGCTGTTAGTCTGAAGGGCTTCCCTTTGTAGGTGACCTTACCTTTCTTGCTAGCTACCTTTAACATTTTTTCTTTCATTTCAACCTTGGAGAATCTGATGATTATGTGTCTTAAGGATGATTTTCTTGTAAAGTATCTTACTGGAATTCTCTGCATTTCCTGAATTTGAATGTTGGCCTCTCTAGCTAGGTTGGAGAAGTTCTCATGGATAATATTTTGAAATGTGTTTTGCAAATTTGTTCCAATCTCCTCATCTCTTTCAGGGACACCAATGAGTCATAGATTCTATCTTTTTATATAATCCCAAATTTTTTGGAGTTTTCATTCATTCCTTTTCATTATTTTGCCTCTATTCTTGTCTTACTGTCTTATTCAGAAAGGCAGTCTTCACATTCTGAGATTCCTTTCTTCATTTATCTATTCTGCTATTAATACTTGTAATTGCATTATGAAATTCTTGTGGTGTGTTTTTCTACTCTCTCAGGTCAGTTATGTTCTTCTTTATATTGGCTATATTGTTTGTCAGCCCTTGCAATGTTTTTTTCATGATTTTTGGCTTCCCTGCATTGGGTTTCAATGCACTCCTGTAGCTGAATGATCTTCCTTCCTATTCATATTCTCAATTCTATTTCTGTCATTTCAGCCCTCTCAGCCAAGTTCAGAACCCTTGTTGAAGAGGTGATGTGGTCATTTGGAAGAAAGAAGGCACTCTGGCTTTCTGAGTTTTCAGGGTTCTTGTGCTGATTTTTACTCATCTTCGTGGGTTCATCTATTAATAGCTTCAATCTTTGAGGTTGCTAACCCTTAGATTTTTTTTTCTTTTTTCCTTTTTGATGACCCTGAGGGTTTGATTGTGGCATTTCTGACTAGCTTCATTTCTGAGAGATTTTAGGGGTCCAAAACTCAGCTACCAACACCTGGACTGTGTGCTTTAACTCTGGGGGACTTGTATTGGGCCCCAACTTTGTTCTCTGGCTCCTAGAGGTTTGGAGTCCACTGCACTGGAGAGAGGTTTGAGATGCAGCAGCTGTGGCAAAGGGCTAATAAGTGGTGGGGTGCCTGCTTTTCCGTGGGTGTTCACCACAATGGCAGAGGTAACAGTTGTGGGAGCAACGGCGGCTACTGACAGATACTTTGTATGTGGTCGGTTGCACTGGAGGTGGTGTAGGCTTGGGGATGTGGTGCTGGTGGACACAGTTCTGGGTGGCTTCTCTGTACACCACAAGCACACATGATCATTCAGGGTCTGGAAAGATCCACTATTCCCTGTGCAGTGTTAGCACAAGGGCAGGGCATTGGCAGGAACAGGGTTTGCCAGCTCTGTGCCCACCAAGGCTTCATCTCCAATGGTGGTTGGTTGGGGCAGGGGGCAGACTATACTCCTGCATGTTGGTGGGGCAAGGAAACAAAAACATGCCCAGGCAGACATGTACCAGCAAAGCGATATGGGGAGTTGCCATGGGCCCAGGGGAAGCTGCAGTATGGGGAGGGAAGGAGCAGGCTTTTCTGTGGCCATAGGGGCTACCTCATTGGCTTCTCTACTGGTCAGGCATGGTCTTCTAGTGCAGAAGCTATGGTGTAGGCCCCAGGGCACCCAAGACTTCCCTGCAAGCAGGCACAGCTGGGCTGGGGTCCCACAAGTTGGCTAATAGACCAAGGGATGCTCAGGTCAGCCCTATCTAATGGGCAAGACCACCCTGCAGAGATCAGGTCTAACTGTTCCCTTAGGGCTAAGACCTCCTATGGGAGCAAGTAAAGCCTAGGGAGATAGCTGTCCCTGGCTGTGTTCTGCTACAGATGCTCCCACATCAACCCTCTGGGCTCCACATCAGCTGGATTGCTGCCCTTATCACTTCTATAAGCAGCTCTCCCTGCCAACTTGAGTGTCCATGGTGATCAAGGAGTCTTCTCCTGTGGGGTTCCGGAGGCCCATGGTGACAGTGGGTTTCTCCAGTTCAACCGTTTCTCTGGAGCTGCTGAGGTCTGAAAATCAGTTGTGGTGTGTGGTAGCCCTGTACTGGGTTCCCAGCTTTTTCTCCCTTCAGCTCAACTTCTGTGTCTTCCCTCTGTCTATTCTCAGTGCCTTCCCTCAAAAGATCTGTTAAAACCATGCCAGTAATCTTAGTCCCTCAGTGGGAGCTCTTCCACATGGCTGCAGCTAGTCAGTCATCTTAGATCCTACGTCTATTTTCTCAGAAGTAAACTCAACAAAATCACTTTCAGTTCTAACTTGCCATAGTTTTTAGAATTAAAAATATTATATTTATTTAAAATATAAATTCTTTGGAAAAAACAATGAACAGTTTTGAAACATTTGATGAGGAAGTATGCACAGAGGTGGGGGGAGAGAGAGAAAATTTGTATAGCCCTTCCTTATTAAAAAGAATAATCTTGTTAATAAATTAATGGCAAGAGATGTGACATATTTACAAATGAGCCTTTTAGAAAAGCTTAACTTCTTATTTTTTGAGTCCCTGTCTCAAAAGAAAAAAAAATAAAAAAGCTTTCATTAAGCTTTAAATAATGATATGAAAGTTAACCTGAATGGTCTTGGTAAATGTTAATTTATGAACCTTTTTGTTAAATGCAGAATTATCTTTGCATTCAAATAATACTTTACACCAGGAAAGAGTTAAGTTGTAAAAGAACATGGATATGAAACATGTCTTTGAAAAACAGATATTAGGCATAGCAAATACAAAAATAATCCTTGGTTTTAGCTTTCTATAAATATTTAATGATAATTTTTGCCTTAGCTAATTTTTAATTGCATTAGCATGCCCTTGTGCAATATGTATATTAACCTGCACAGTTAACTCACTTATTAAATCATATATTACTTTAAATCAAAATAAAACTTTTTATAAATAAGACTATATTATATTACAATTAAATATTAAAATGTCATTCAGTGAAAATAACATATGGTAGCTATATTATATATTTAATGGAATAACCATATATCTTAGATCAGTTCTGTATCCTCTGTTCTAGTTTAATTGCTATGCTCATCCCACAGATCATTTTGTAAAAATTATTAGACTGTTAAGATAGTTCTCATCTCTACCAAACTAAGTAAAGCACTTAACACATTTTAGCTGGAATTTATATCCAAATGACCACCTTATTTAAATATGAGTGCATATTATTCTCATATTATAACAAATTAGCTGGAATTTATATCCAAATGCCCACCTAATTTAAATATGAGTGCATATTAATCTCATATAGTAACTATACTGATAAATTTGATCTATGGGAATGGTAGCATCTGAATCTTGAAGGCTTTATTAACTTCTTAGCAATTTCATATTATTACAAGATCTGTAAACTAAAAATACTCAAAAAAGTTTCCTCTAAAGAGAAGCAAGTATTCTAAGCTAACTTTATAAGGACATAGATAAAAGTTAACTTATAAGCAAATATATGCTCAACCATCAACAGTGGACAAAACTTGTTTCTATGGAAACTAGAATATGTTAATAGCTTCCCTTCTTGGAAAACAGCAGGAGGAACAGTAATGTCACATCAATTAACAAACAGTAAAAGCAGGACAGGAGGTAAAGAAAGGAGCTTAATTTAAGTTTAAAAATTAATAGATAGCCAGGCACAGTTGCTGACACTTAGAATCCCAGCACTTGGGGAGGCCAAGGTGGAAAAACTGCTTGAGGCCAGGAGCTCGAGGCCAGCCTGGGCAATAGGGCAAGATCTTGCCTGTACAAAAAAAAAGCAGCTGGGTGTGGTGGTGTGTGCCAGTGATCCAAGCTACTTAGGAGGCTGAGGCAGGAGGATAGCTTGAGCCCACGAGACTGAAGCTGCAGTGAGCTATGTTCACACCACTGCAATCCAGCCTGGGTGACAGGGGGAGACCCTGTCAAAAAAAAAAAAAAGAAAAAGAAATGTGTAAAAATTAAAAAACATATACATTTTTGTCTTGAAGAAAAGAAAAAATTAGGCTGGTCAGAATCTCAAATTCAGCAGTGATTTGATTTTTAATGTACATGTTCTGGGGATTGGCAGCCGTGGACAATATTATATTCCACTCAAAGTGGGCCACCTATTTAAGTCATCTTTGAGGGAGGAACTCAGGGAGGCAGAATTAGATTTTATATCTAGGAGCTATTTTTTATTTAAATCTGTCATAATTTCTATATTTTGTGTAAGATTAATATTATGTAATGTGGTGATTAAATTTAAAATAATTGAAAAGAACTCTGTTGAAACCTTGAAGTAGACTTAACATGCTTTTCAAAAGTATGTGTACTCTGACTAAGTGAAAAAACAGTTCTGGACAATGTTTTTTCACTCTCCAATTAAAGGTTTATATTTCTAAAAGCATTAAAGTACACTTTAGAAAGCAATTATATTTACCTATCAATTTTAGAAAATCAAGTATTTAACCAAATAATTTTTGGTTTGTATCCAAATGTGATCATTCTAAAGTTTGTACATACTGTAAAATGAAAGAACTTTGGGAGGTCGAGGCAGGTGGATCACGAGGTCAGGAGATCGAGACCATCCTGGCTAACATGGTGAAACCCTGTCTCTACTAAAAATACAAAAAATTATCTGGGCATGGTGACATGCACCTGTAGTCCCAGCTACTCGGGAGGCTGAGGCAGGAGAATGGCGTGAACCTGGGAGGCAGAGCTTGCAGTGAGCCAAGATCGCGCCATTGCACTCCAGCCTGGGCGACAGAGTGAGACTCCATCTCAAAAAAAAAATAAATAAAAAATAAAAATTAAAAATGTAATGGCATGCTACAGAAACTATCTATGCCACTAGGAGTAGACAGCTTTTCAACTTTGAAGTGTTATTAACTTCAGAGCCTTTACAAAATTTTTTAACTTATTGAAGCTCTTTTCTGTGGGTATCAACATCTAAAGTAATACATTATATATATAGTTTTCTTAAACTCGAATATATATGTCTTTAAATGTAATTCATTCTTATCAATATAACTGATACTCAAGTTCACAAGTATAGGGGCTGAGTGTGATCACTTTCATCTCCATCATAAGGATCATGGCTACACTCCTATAATAGAAAACAGGTTAACAAGAGAAAAACATAACAAATGTATTTGATCATTTTTTATGTAACATGGGAATGTTCAGAATAAAGACCCAAAGATACAAGGAAAATTATCTATTTTTATGCTTAGGTTCAATGAAGTATGGACAGCAGTGTAGAAATATGATTGGACAAAAAGGGTATGAGCTAATGTTAATAGACTGAGCGGGGAAAGCCAGCAAGACCTCTGTTTAGATTCCTTTTGGCTTTTCTGTGCAGCATTCCAGAATTCCTTCCTCTGAGAGCGGGACAGGATCCTCTCTAGAATGTTGATCTTATGACCTACAGTCAAACAAGGTAAGTCAGAGAATTTCTTTATGTCCATTTTTTACACAGAAAGGTGAAAAAAAGTTAAAGTGATATTTTCAGGTTTTATGGATGACTGAGGAAAAAACATTCTGGTTTCTGCTACACATCTTGGGAAAGAGAGATTCCAGTATCTATGGCTGGCCTTGTGGAGAACAGGATGTGAGAGACAGGAAGGCAGGAGAAGGTAAAGGAGAAACTTTTGCTTTTAGGCTGCTTCTAATGCCTTCATTATGGTGTATTATTTTCTGAGCTCCAACATTCCCTGGTTTGAAACTCGCCCAAGAAGTTTTACAGTCCAGAAACTGGGATGATGAATTGGCTTACAAGCCATTGAAATGGTCTCTCTGTTCTAAGAATAGGCCAGTCCAGTTTAAACAGCTAACAGTTTTGTCTTATTTTAGGCAGTAGTGTTGCAGACAAGCTTCTACAAAAGTCCTAGACTTCTAATTTTGTATAATGTATCTAAACAAATATCTTCCCCACTGACAATAGGTCAATATATGCAGAATTAAAACATAGGCATCATTAATAAAGCATCCAAAATGTATAAGAATGCTAAAGGTATATTCAGGGTGTTGTAAATATCAATCTGACCCAAAGAACTATAGACTTTTGCTGATAGAAGAAACTTTAGATATAATCATCTAGTTTAAATTTTCTCATTTTAAAAATAAGTTTTGAAACTGAAGACCAGGAATATCATATCTATACTACATAACATTATTTAAGTAAGATTGTATGTTCTCAATCAAATATTTAATAATAACTATTTTGAGCATCACTGAATATTTATTTATATATTTTTTGCCTCTTCATAATAAAAAGGAGAAAAATATGAACACACTTAGACTAAGATATCCATGACAGTAGAAACCCTTTTGTGCCATTGAGTCTTCAGCCAGTAGCCCAAAACTTGTAAAACTTATTCCTCATTGGTATAAGAAATAGCAGTACAGATTTTTTTTTCCAAGATGGCAGATTAGAGGTTTTAGTATGCCTCAGCCACTTGGAAATGGCAAGATAGTATGGAAAGATCAACTCTGTGAACTTTAATTCAAGAAGGAAAATGGGAATCCACTTGAACTGTGAAGGATACCCAAGATCACAGGGAGGAGAACCCCAGCAAACAGCTCCTGTGATGGTGTCTGGGTGATAAAAGTAAGTGATGCCCTAGTATGTGAGCAGTCACTCCCTCTGTCACTCATTTTTCCACTGGGGATCCAAGCAACTCAGGCAGAAGGAGAGCACGTTGTTTCTCTCAAGCCATGAAGCTAACTTGAAGACAGGGTTGGAGATGCTGTGAGGGAAGGACAAGAGGAAAAGCTGCAAACATTTTTCCAGACCAGGTACTGAGAGCAGGATGCCATTTTTAATGTATGCACATAAGAAAGGCAACCCAGCAGTGTGGCCATGGAGATATTTTAGTCTTGTGTGGCCATGTAGATATTTCAGTCTCAGGCCAGAGATTGAAGTAACTGCTCTGGAGTGGAATAGGGGCCTCCATAGCCAGAATTGTGGAAATCCCATCAGAAGTAGGTATGGGATTATGCTCTCCTCAGTTGCAGGCCTGGGGTGGGAGGAGGGCTGCTACAGTTGCAGTATTTTCAGGTCAACAGGACTTGCAACGAGGACCACCTTAGTGACCTGGAACTGATCTGCATTTGCCATAGTTGGGTGCCCAAGCCTGCTCTTCTGAGATCATGTTGTAGCAGGGCCCACTCTACTCCACCCCCAAGCATAAATCCAGGCATTAGGAGCACCCACTTTCCTGGACCACCTCACACTTCCTGGACATGATTGTGGTGGAATGGGGTGCTCTCTGCTTCATGCCCAGGTACATCTCCAGATATTCAGAGCAACTGCTCATTTGTGTCAGCAGCCTGAGCCACCCCACTCATCCTGGACATAGATTGTGAACAAGATTCTCTCTACTCCATGCCCAGGCAGATCTCCAGGCAGTCAGATCACCTGCTTACCTGATTCAGCAGCCTGAGTCACCCCATCCCTCCTATACAGAGATCCTGGTGCAAGGGAGCCCTCTCTGTTACACGCCAAGGTATATTTTCAGGCATTCATGGCACCTGCTTGACTAGTTCAGCAGCCTGAGTTGCCTCTCCTCTCCTGTGCAAATACCTTGGTGCAGGAGAGCCCTCTCCACTCTATGTCCAGGCCCACCTCCAGGAATCTGGAGCTCACACTCTGTTGGATTAGAATTTAAGCCACCCTCATCCTCATACAGACAACTTGGGGCCAACGAGGTTACTCAGATCCATGCCTAGGCACACTTCTGGGTGCTTGGTGGTCACCTGTGGATTTTCCTTTGGCACTGGTGCTTGTGCCTTCCATCAGGGGACTTGTAGGCAAACCTGCCCAGTCCAGCCTTACCCATCACAGTCCCCAGACCCCTAGAGCTGAGGAGGAAGCCCAGAACCCTGTGTATTTCATGCATCATCCCAGTGCCCGAGGAAAAAAGAGTTTCTGCCGGTAAACTAGGTTCAAATATATATACAGCCATGTTGGCTACAGCCAGTTCCTCCCTATAAGCACCAACTAATGGCTCATAGGTCAAAGTGCACAGCCCAGTGTAAACCTGCAGACGTAAGTTCATAAGGCTAGAGAAGCAAAGCCAAAAGACCCTGCCCAGCATTCTCTACAGTTGTACTCCCTAGTTGGGAAGTGGGGGAGGAAGGGAAAGTGAAAGATAAACAATACTGTAGGGAAAAGAAAGACAAAGAAAAATTCTGCCCATATGAAAATAATTATAAAAATTACAAGTGCCAGCATCCCCAGATGAGAAGAAACCAGGGCAAGAATCTTGGCACAATGAAAAATACAAATGTGGTGACACTACCAAAGGATCACACTAGCTCTCCAGCAATGGTTGCTAATGAGAATGGAAACTCAGAAATAACATAAATAATTCAAAGTGTGGGTTGCAAGGAAGCTCAACCATATGCAAGACAAACTTGCAAATCACAAAGAAACTTCTAAAGCAATCCAAGAAATGAAAGATGAGATAAACATTTTGAAAAGAAATCAATCACAGTTGAAAAACTCACTTGAGAAATTTCAAAATACAGTTGAAAGCTTTATCAATAGACTAGAACAAGCAGAAGAAATAATATCAGAGCGCGAAGACCAGACTTTCAAACTAACCCAGAAAAAAATGAAGCAAAAAGAACTTTTAAGAATGCACAAACGTTTTGAGAAATGTGAGATGATATAAAGTGACCAAACCTACAAATTATTGGCATTCCTGAGAGAGAAGGACAAAAAGTAAATAACCTGGAAAATATATTTTAGGAAATAATTAAAGAAAAATTTTCTAATCTTGCCAGACATGTAGAGATCCAGATACAAAAATATCCAGAGAACACGTGAGAGATACTATACAACATGAACATCACCAAGGCATATAGTTAGCAGAGTGTCCAAGGTCCAAGGTCTAAGATTTTTTCTTTTAAGAAAAAATCTTAAAGGTGGCTATTGAAAATGGTCAAATTACATACAGAAGGAACTCCATCAGGCTAACAGTGGACTTCTCAACAGAAATCTAAAAGCCAGGAGAGACTGGGGGCCTATTTTCAGCATTCTTAAAGAAAAGAAATTTCAACCAAGAATTTTATATCTTGCCAAACTAAGCTCTAAAGGCAAAGGAGAAATAAAAGCTTTTCTACACAAGTAAGTCCACGGGAATTTGTTACCACTAGACAAGTCTTACAAGAATTCATAAGAGAGTTCTAAACATAAGAATGAAAGAATAATACCTGCTACCAGAAAAATACACTTAAATACATATCCTACAGATGGTGTAACGCAACCACGCAATGGAAATTACAAAGCAAACAGCTAACAACTTCATGATAAGATCGAAGCCTTACATATCAATATAAACCTTGAATGTAAATGTTCTAAACACCCCCACTTCAAAGGCATGGAGTGGCAAGTTGAATTAAAAAAAACAAGGCCCATTCATCTGCTATCTTCAAGACACCTATCTCACATTTAAAAATGCCCATAGGCTCAAAGCAAAGGGTTGGAGATAGATCTATCATGAAAACAGAAAATACAAAAGAGCAGGGGTCAATATTCTCATATCAGATAAACAGACTTTAAACAAATAACAGTAAAAAAGGACAAAGAGAGCACTACATACTGATAAAGGGTTTAATGCAACAAGAAGACTTAACAATCCTAAATATATATGCAGCCAACATTGGAGCACCTGGATTCATAAAATAAGAACTTCTAGACCTACAAAAAGACTTAGCCACACAATAATAGAAAAGGACTTCAACACTTATGGCATTAGACAGGTCATAGAGGCAGGAAACTAAGAAATTCTGGACTTAAACTTGACACTTGATCAATTAGAACTTATAGACAACTATAGAATACTCTACCTATCAACCACAGAATATGCATTCATATCACCTGCACATGGAACATACTCCAAGACTGACCACAAGCTCACCCTAAAGCAATTCTCAATAAATTTTAAATAATTGGAATCATACCAACCATATTCTCTGACCACAATGGAATATGAATAGAAATTAATACCAAGAAAGTCTCTCAAAACCACATAATCATACAGAAATTAAAAAACTTGCTTCTGAATGACTTTTGGGTAAACAACAAAATTAAGGCAGAAATCAGAAAATTATTTAAAATAGATGAAAACAGAGACTCAATATAGTAAAATGTCTGGGATGCTGGAAAAGCAGTGTTAACAGGAAAGTTTATAGCTCTAAATACCTACCTTAAAAAGTTAGAAAGATCTCATATTAGTGATCTCTCATTATACCTAAAGAAACTAGAAAAACAAAAACAGTCTAAACTCAAAGCTGGCAGAAGAAAAGAAATAACTAAAATCAAGGTAGCACTGACTGAAATTGAGACACACAAATACATACAAAAAATCAATGAAACCAAAAGTTGAAAATTTGAAAGGATAAATGAGATTGATAGACTTCTAGATAGATTAACAAAGAAAATGAAATAAGAAAAGTTTCAAATAAGCACAATGACAAAGGTGCTTAAATGACAAAGGTGACATTACAACTGATCCCAGAGAAATACAAAAGATCCTCAGAAACTTTTACGTACACCTACATGCATACGAACTAGAAAATCTAGAGGAAATGTATAAATTTCTGGAAACACACCTCCCAAGATTGTATCAAAAAGAAACTGAAACACTGAATAGACCAATATTGAATTCTGAAACAGAATAAGTAATAAAAAGCTTACCAATAAAAAAAAAAAGCCTCAGACTAGATGGATGCACAGCCAAATTCTTCCAGACATACAAAGAAGAGCCGGTACCAATTCTACTGAATTGTTACAATTCAGTAAAAAATTCAGTAGAATTCAGTAAAAAATTCTACTGATTTTTCCAACAAAACGAAGATGAAGAACTTCTCTCTAACTCATTCTACAAAGCCAACATCATCCTGATACCAAACCTGGAAAAGATATATTGAAAAAGGAAAACCACAGGCCAATGTCCCTGATTGATGAACGTAGATGCAAAAATCATCAACAAAACACTAGTAAATGGAATTCAAGAGCATACCAAAGAGTTAATTCACCACAGTAAAGTAGCCTTCATTCCTGGACTGGAAGGCTGTCGTAACATAAGCAAATCATTAAGTGTGATTCACGACATAAATAGGATTAACAAAAAATATAAGATTATCACATTAGATGTAGAAAATGATTTGATAAAATCCAACATCCTTTCTATATAAAAACCCTCAAGAAACCAGGCATCAAGAGAACATACCTTAAAATAATAAGAGCCATCTATAACAAACCCACAGCCAATATTAGACTGAACAGGCAAAACTTGGAACCTTGAGAACTAGAAGAAAACAAGGGTGCCATTCTCACCACTCCTAGTCAGCATAGTACTGGAAGTGCTAGCCAGAGCAGTCAGGCAAAGAAAGAAATAGCAGACATCCAAATAGCAAAAGAAGAACTTAATCTATCTCTCTTCATGAATGTTACATAGAAAACCCTAAAGACTCCACTAGAAGAGTACTGGAAATAATAAAAGACTTCAGAAAAGTTTCAGGATAGAAAATCAATGTACAAGAATCAGTAACATGTCTATACACCAATAATGTTAAAGCTGAGAGCTAAATCAAGAATGCAGTTCAATTTACAATAGACACACACACACACACACACACACACACACACACACACACAACCATAGGAATACATCTAACCAAGGAGGTGGAAGATCTCTACAAGGAGAACTACAGAACACTGCTGCAAGAAATCAGAGATGACACAAACAAATGGAAAAAACATTCCATGATTACGCATTGGAAGAATCAATATCATTGAAATTTCCATACTGCTCAAAACAATCTGCAGATTCAACACTATTCTTATAAAGCTACCAATATTACTTTCACATAACTAGAAAAAGCTATTTTAAAATTCATATGGAACCAGGCCCGGCGCAGTGGCTCATGCCTGTAATCCCAGCACTCTTGGAGGCCGAGGTGGGCAGATCACGAGGTCAGGAGATTGAGACCATCCTGGCTAACACGATGAAATCCTGTCTCTACTAAAAAATACAAAAAATTAGCTGGGCGTGGTGGTGGGTGCCTCTAGTCCCAGCTACTCATGAGGCTGAGGCAGGAGAATGGTGTGAACCTGGGAGGTGGAGCTTGCAGTGAGCAGAGATTGCACCACTGCACTCCAGCCTGGGTGATAAGAGTGAGACTCCATCTCAAAAAAAAGAAAAAAAAATTATGGAACCAAAAATGATTCCAAATAGCCAAAGCAATCCTAAACAAAAATAACAAAAGCTAGAAATTGAAAATTACCCAATTTGAAACTATACTATAAGGTTACAGTAACCAAAACAGCATAGTACTTATATAAAAACAGACACATAAACTAATGGAACAGCATAGAGAACACAGAAACAAACCCACACACCTACAGCTATCTGATCTTTGACAAAGTTGACAAAGCAATGGGGAAAGGACTCTCTATTCGGTAAATTGCACTGGGATAATTGGCTAACCACAGGCAGACAAATAAAATTAGACCTCTACCTTACATCATATACAAAAATTAACTCAATATGAATTAAATATTTTAATATAAAACCTCAAACTATCAGAATCATAAAAGAAAGAAAATCTAGGAAACACCATTCTAGACACTGGCCTTGGGAAACAATACATGAGTGAGTCCTCAGAAGCAATTCCAACAAAAACAAAAATTGACAAGTGAGACCTAATTAAACTAAAGAGCTTCTGAACAAAAACAATCTACAAAGTAAACAGACAACCTAAAGCATGAGAGAAAATATTTAGAAACCATGCATGCAACAAAGGTCTAATGTCTAGCATCTATAAGAAATTTGAACAATTCAACAAGCAAAAAACACCACCATTAAATGTGGGCAAAAGGCATGAACACACACATCTCAAAAGAAGACAAAAAAGTGGCCAACACATATATGAAAGAGCATGCCACATTAGTAATCATCAGAGAAATGCAAATTAAAACCAAAATGAGATACTATCTCACACCAGTCAGAATGGCTATTATTAAAAAGTCAAAAACTGCTGGGTATGGTAACCCAAGCACTTTGGAATGGCATGAACCCCGGAGGAGGAGCTTGCAGTGAGCCGAGATTGTGCCACTGTACTCCAGGCTGGGCAACAGAGTGAGACTCTGTCTCAAAAAAAAAAAAAAAAAATTCATAAACAACAGTGACGACAGACGTTGGCAAGGCTGTGGAGAAAAGGAAATGCTTATACACTGTTAGTAAGAATGTAAATTGCTTCAGCCACTGTGAAAAGCAGTTTGGAGATTTCTCAAAGAACTTAAAACAGAATTACTATTAAACCCAGCAATCTCGTTATTGGGTATGTACCCAAAAGAAAACAATCCTTTTAACCAAAAAGACACATGCAGTCACATTTTCATCACAGCACTATTCACAATAGCAAAGGAAAAGAATCAACCTAGGTGCTCATCAATGGTGAATTAGAGAAAGAAAATGTGGTCTATATACCCTATGGAATATTACACAGCCATAAAAATGAAGTTATTTCCTTTGCAGCAACACAGATGAAACTGGAGGCCATTACCCTAAACAAACTAACACAGAAACAGAAAACCAAATGCTATGTGTTTTCACTTATAAGTGGGATCTAAACAGTAGGTACTCATTGACATAACGACAGCAACACTAGAAACCGGGGACTACTAGATGGTGGCGGTAGGGAGTGGGCAAGGTTTGAAAAACTGCCCTATTGGATACTATGCTTGGTATTAGGCTGACAGGATCATTCACACCCTCAGCATTAGTAGCACAATATGCCCAAGTAAAAATCCTGCACATGTGTCTCCTGAATCTAATATGAAAGTTGAAAAAAAAAGTATAAAATCATAAAGAAAGAACTGAAAAAAAGAAAAGAAATAAAAGTATAGTCGAAATGACTACTTTTTAATAGGTAAGCTTGTATTTAAATCTCAATTCCACTAGTTCTGGGATAGTAACTATTGTATATTTGAAGAAATCAGAAGAAAATAAATTCTAGAATTTTGTGAATAGCAAGGATTATAGAACAAATTCCAACCCAGTGGTGTCCTGATAAACGTTTACAATGGTATGGGTTGAGTGGAGTGGAATTGTATTGTTTGCCAACTTCCATGGTGTAAATACTCCCAATGTGGCCCATTTTAAGCTACCAACTGTCTGGTAAAATACTTGAAAGTTTAATAATCAGCTCTAGTGCTAGGCCAGTGTGAGTCAGCTCTACCACACACCTGACTCAATCCTTTCATAATGAAGGTGACATCATCTGCAAAGCCAAAATGTATATTCTAATAAAAATAGAACTTATTTGTGGATTTCTCCATGATATATATGATAAAATGTTTCCTAACATATAAAATATTGTTAAATCTTAGTTGCCAATGACTTTTTATCAATAAGTATATAAATTAGCTATCTAGTTCCTAATACTGTCTTCTTCTTGTAAACCCAATTTTGAAAACAATATATGAATTTATATTTATTAATTTGAATTTTAAGCAGCATAATGTAACCTAAAATTTTAAGAAAAAATAAATTGGTAGTTTAGAAATAGTTGTCACTTTTCTAATAGTTTGTGATATATTTTGTGGGACTTTTAAATAAACTTGTGAAAATGGCTGTCATTTAAATAATATGGGGGAAAATAACTTCAAATACATTCTTAAACACAGCAAGTGACTTGAAATATTTATGTTCACAGATAAACATACACAATCTTATATTTACTGGGATAAAATTGAGAGTGGCATCTCGTTTAAAAAAAAACTCATCTGATTCTGGATTTTCAGATTGAAAGTGAAAGTGGTTTTGCTTCTCTTTTAGGATTAGCAAATGTGGCATTGCTTTCCCATTAGGATTAGCTGTCAACCATCAGCTGTAATAGTAGAAAAATCACAGCTGTTCTCCAAGCAAGCCCAGAAGATGATGCTAGGAAGTTACTATCAGTTTCTATCCAGGTATGCAGAGCCAGCAAAATTTACATGAAGGCAAAATCTGTATTGGGTGTTTAGCATGAAATGGTCTGCATTACACTTTCAGTGAATTTATTGCCACCAAACTTATTTCATTTAATGGAACACTCTAGGGTTTTCTTTTTCTTTTTATCTAAATTTGCCTCCTCTAGAGATAGAAACATCTAAGGTGGCATTGTCTTTGCAAATTCAGAAAAAAGATCCCCTAAAACAAAGATGTCATTTCTGTTTAGCATTCTTAGATTTGAAACTCAGTATCTGCTTAAAATATTTGGCATGCAACTGAGAAAGGAAATATCGCTCTAGTATTAAATTATATATGAATATGCATATGAATTTATAAACTGTTATATCAGTTTATATGTTGACATGTAAATGAACACACATATATCCACATTGATATGTTGGATATGGATATATATAAATATATACATACAGTGTATGTATGTATTTTCCATGGCTAATTTTTATTCAGCAAACACCTGCTGAGTAGTTAGAATTTTTAAAACATTGTGCTAGGAGCTGAAAGGAAAATAAAGGTGAATAAAACACTCAGGATAAAAGGCAGGATTTTATTTTCTAATAGAGAAGACTGGCACATATATAGAAAATAAGGTTGATATATGAGGTGGTAGGAAGGAAAGGAAGAACAGAGTATAAAATTGCCACACTGTAATTCAAGTATAAGGAATTTATTTAAAATACTTACTCAGCAAATTGGTTTTGAGTAAACAATTCTACTAGGTCTGGTGAGTGTAAATTGGGAAATTTACGCTTAAATCCTTTTCAGAGAGACACTTCCTTAGACATGAGTAGAACGTAATATCATCAGTCATGTGGCTAGAAAAGTGATAAAGGTTTTTTTAAGGAAAATTTTCTAATACCTATAATTTTTTTTAATGCACACAATCTTTGTTATAACAAATTCACTCCTAGGAATTGCCCCATACCTCTCCATCCAGGTATAAAAGAAACTATTTTTTTCCTCCTGAGAATACTCAAAAGAACTTTGTTATAATATGATAAAATTAGAAACCACCTACCTAACTTTCCAAGAGAGAAAAATTGTTAAATGGCATAAATTACATCTATACAATTTAATAGCAGGAAAAAAATAACAATGATTTTGTTTAAAATTGTACTTACTCCTATAAAAAAATGTTCACAATAGATTATCATCATAGAACAGTGTGTGACACAGAGTTAGCACTCCATACAGAACATTTTGCTCTTCCAAGCATGACTTAGTTGCATTTAAAAAGAATTTATTTAAATTTGAACCAAAATACTGCCTACTGATTTTTCCATAGCTGATAAATATTAATTACAACATATGTGCATTTGTGGTTAATAGCTCATGAATAATATTTCACAAAGTGTATCTATTTTTATAGTCAGTTGGACCCCATGATTATGTGGGTTATAGATGATTTCAAGAATTGCACCGTAGCTGCTCATAGCAAATACAGGTACTTGCCAAATTATGGTTGTTATTCCGTACCTCTATCATAACTGTGTGTAAGGGATATAAGAACCCTCTCTAAATTCAGATCAGATTTTCCCTGTGGTAAGTTGATTATTTAGAGCTAAGCATGGTAGGGAGAAAATAGACTTAGGTAAGCATTATGTCACATCTTGTTTAAATTGTTAGAATATCCAAGTACTGAATAAACTGTAATTGAAGTGGTGACTTACCTCTTCTATTCTCCTAAAACAAAAAAACAAAAAATCTCTCTTCAAAGTTTTTTCTTCAATTTTGAACCTTGTTATACTCTCCGGAGCTTTTCTTTTCTCTTGGTTATATCTATAAGCATCTTAAGTCTTTGAGTTGCCTCAGTGAAAGGGGAATATAAAGCAGCAACACTTAGCAATACAATAGATGAGTGCAATTATTATTTATTGCCTCAAATGGGAGTTGCAGAATTTGGAACGGATTTTTTTTTTGTTTGATAATGGATATTTCCATAGCCCTAGAGCTTCCCTTTAAGCAAACTTAATTATTCAAATAGCCCTTTGACTCTTATACTACCACACATCTGATTCTCCATAAATGCCATAAATTTCTTATTACATGCTGAACAAATATTTTTTTTAATTATTAATATTATTGTACTTTAAGTTTTAGAGTACATGTGCACAATGTGCAGGTTAGTTACATATGTATACATGTGCCATGCTGGTGTGCTGCACCCATTAACTCGTCATTTAGCATTAGGTATATCTCCTAATGCTATCCCTCCCCCGTCCCCCCACCCCACAACAGTCCCCAGAGTGTGATGTTCCCCTTCCTGGGTCCATGTGTTCTCATTGTTCAATTCCTATCTATGAATAAGAACATGTGGTGTTTTGTTTTTTGTCCTTGCGATAGTTTACTGAGAATGATGATTTCCAATTTCATCCATGTCCCTACAAAGGACATGAACTCATCATTTTTTATGGCTGCATAGTATTCCATGTTGTATATGTGCCACATTTTCTTAATCCAGTCTATCATTGTTGGACATTTGGTTTGGTTCCAAGTCTTTGTTATTGTGAATAGTGCCGCAATAAACATATGTGTGCATGTGTCTTTATAGCAGCATGTTTTATAGTCCTTTGGGTATATACCCAGTAATGGGATGGCTGGGTCAAATGGTATTTCTAGTTCTAGATCCCTGAGGAATCACCACACTGACTTCCACAATGGTTGAACTAGTTTACAGTCCCACCAACAGTGTAAAAGTGTTCCTATTTCTCCACATCCTCTCCAACACCTGTGGTTTCCTGACTTTTTAATGATTGCCATTCTAACTGGTGTGAGATGGTATCTCATTGTGCTTTTGATTTGCATTTCTCTGAAGGCCAGTGATGAGCATTTTTTCATGTGTCTTTTGGCTCCATAAATGTCTTCTTTTAAGAAGTGTCTGTTCATATCCTTTGCCCACTTTTTGATGGGGTTGTTTTTTTCTTGTAAATTTGTTTGAGTTCATTGTAGGTTCTGGATATTAGCCCTTTGTCAGATGAGTAGGTTGCAAAAATTTTCTCCCATTTTGTAGGTTGCCTGTTCACTCTGATGGTAGTTTCTTTTGCTGTGCAGAAGCTCTTTAGTTTAATTAGATCCCATTTGTCAATTTTGGCTTTTGTTGCCATTGCTTTTGGTGTTTTAGACATGAAGTCTTTGCCCATGCCCATGTCCTGAATGGTAATGCCTAGGTTTTCTTCTAGGGTTTTTATGGTTTTAGGTCTAACGTTTAAGTCTATAATCCATCTTGAATCAATTTTTGTATAAGGTTTAAGGAAGGGATCCAGTTTCAGCTTTCTACATATGGCTAGCCAGTTTTCCCAGCACCATGTATTAAATAGGAAATCCTTTCCCCATTGCTTGTTTTTCTCAGGTTTGTCAAAGATCAGATAATTGTAGATATGTGGCGTTATTTCTGAGGGCTCTGTTCTGTTCCATTGATCTATATCTCTGTTTTGGTACCAGTACCATGCTGTTTTGGTTACTGTAGCCTTGTAGTATAGTTTGAAGTCAGGTAGCCTGATGCCTCTGGCTTTGTTCTTTTGGCTTAGGATTGACTTGGTGATGCGGGCTCTTTTTTGGTTCCATATGAACTTTAAAGTAGTTTTTTCCAATTCTGTGAAGAAAGTCATTGGTAGCTTGATGGGGATGGCATTGAATCTATAAATTACCTTGGGCAGTATGGCTATTTTCATGATATTGATTCTTCCTACCCATGAGCATGGAATGTTCTTCCATTTGTTTGTATCCTCTTTTATTTCATTGAGCAGTGGTTTGTAGTTCTCCTTGAAGAGGTCCTTCACCTCCCTTGTAAGTTGGATTCCTACGTATTTTATTCTCTTTGAAGCAATTGGGAATGGGAGTTCACTCATGATTTGGCTCTGTTTGTGTGTTATTGGTGTATAAGAATGGTTGTGATTTTTGTACGTTGATTTTGTATCCTGAGACTGCTTAACAAATATGTTTATCTGACATAGCTATAAAACAATGTCAAAAACATCTGATGGTGTTGAAAAGTTAACTTGTCACTCTATATTTACATACTTCCAAAATCTATCCAAACACATGTTTAATTTACAGACATAGTTGACTAATTCCTAATTTTTGTAGTAGAAAAGCCTTAAAATGTAGATCTCAATGCCAAATTGTCAGTGTAATTCACTTGCATTTGTATTTTGTTCACTTTAATATTTTGAATTTGATTCAGACACTCTATGACATTGACCAGTAAAGTTGGATATCTCTGAACTAACATCAAAGCAAGGCATTTTCTATCGTTGCTGAAAATATTCTTCTGAAGTTTTCTAAAATGTTACATTCAGCAAAATTATTTCAATAGCTCCTGGACATGGGTAGCAGTTTTTCTTTCCTTTTATATTTTATCAATCCAACTCTCCTCGTTTTACATAAGAGAGAAAGAATAAGATTCAAGGGTGAGCCACTTTCTACCTGCTAGCAGGGGAATGTGGGATGGCACCAGAGACAACCAAAAGTTAGCAGGTTCCTTTCAGACCAATTGAACCTGAATGAACTTCTTATATTTAATCCAATTCCCTTTCTACCAATTCTCCTCTAGGTAGATAATTCTAATAATGCATTTAAAACAGGGTAATAACTTTATCAAGTAATTGTTACTAATTAGAAAATCCTTGGCATACATAAGTTTTTTTTTTCCAATTCTTCCCTTTAATAATTTCTGCTTTTCTAGCTGATCTTTTAGGTGACCCCATTAGCAGCATAGCTGAGAATTCACAGTTAGAAGTCTTGTTCAGCCAAATTAATTAAGTGCCATTTTCCTTCTAGGAGGAAATTAGCTGCTTAGGTAAATATATTAATTGAGTGTTTGTTTCTGTTTGTTGTAATCATACTCAGAACCCCTTGGCACAATTATACCTTGTTCCAAAAATTCTCTTTTAAATAATTCTTTCAGATATTTTAGTCAGCTTTTGAAAACACCTAGAATTTTCTCATTCATGAACAAATAATTTATATTTGTCTAAATTTACTATAGGATTATTAGCTTTATATCACTTCTTGCCTTTGAAGTAATTTCTGGAGACTGTTGGTCTCGGTGAGTCTATATAAAATCATTCATTCAAAGCAAGACTTGGCTCAGTTTCTTTAGTTCCTCAAAGTCTGATGACTGACATTACTGAAGATGATCCCACAGTGATGTCCTCAAGGGAGGCCACGTCACTCACTGACACTCTGCTAAAAGATGTGGGGTGTACAAAGATGGATATGCCATGATTCTTGTCCTCAAGAGATATAAACCACAAATAACATGAAATAGATGTTAAAAGTGCATTAATAGGGAAATAAAAATGTTTCACAGGAGCACTACTAAACATAAATTTGGACAGGTATGTGAGAGGGAAGTGTGGTAACTGCATTCAAAACAGAGTGAAGTGTGAGAAATGTAATGGCACAGTGAAGAAATGGCAAAAAACATCTATTTTGACTAACATGCCTGCCCTGGGCACCTAAGTGTACACACTGACCACTAAAGATGAAGCATATACTTGAACCAAGACCCTGTAAAACTTAGTTCCTAGCTGAGAAGTTTGAGTTTTAGCATATCAACATGCCTAAAGACTCCATTACAGAGTCTTAAAAAGTGAGTTCAATTTAACTGACATCCTAACTTATTTTGGGCAACACCAAGAGATTCTTGAATAGAATCTATTTCCCTCACCTACCATCTTTCATTCATTACATCATTCAAACATTAAAAAAAAAATTATTAGGGGGTTACAGCCATATTTCTAACATAGGTCAATTACCTAACCTGCCATACTATATTCATTACCATGACATACAATGATGACTCAGGTATGATATTATCATTCATAATTCAGAAGGCAAGATAAGAAAGTATGTAACTGTAACTGTAGAGTGAATTTCAAGAGAAGTAGTGGATTCCAGAAATAATAATTTCAAAAGTGGCCGGGCGCGGTGGCTCACGCCTGTAATCACAGCACTTTCGGAGGCCGAGAAGGGCGGATCACAAGGTCAGGAGATCGAGACCATCCTGGCTAACATGGTGAAACCCCACCTCTACTAAAAATACAAAAAATTAGCCAGGCGTGGTGGCAGGTACCTGTAGTCCCAGGTACTTGGGAGGCTGAGGCAGGGAGAATGGCGTGAACCCAGGAGGCAGAGCTTGCAGTGAGCCGAGATCGTGCCACTGCACTCCAGGCTGGGGGACAGAGTGAGACTCTGTCTCAAAAAAAAAAAAAAAAAAGGGGGGGTGCCTAAGCATTGGACTCAAATAAGCTTACATTTATAAGTGTTATTTTACAAGTTAGAACATCTCAAGGAGAAATAGACATATTGAAAAATAAATCATTGGATTTGACGGATTCTAACTGCTGCTCCAAAGTAGCTGTCAAAAGACTACAAAGCCTCCTATTTTTCCTTTAGAGAATTCCATTGGCTTATCTCATTGTACTTCAGCTGCATTTGAGTTATCAAGTTGAATGGGTTGTGACAGGTCATGAGAGGAGTAGCTCACCAGTGTGTTACTGAATTTCATGATGCCTTAGTGTGTTAATTTATCAGATCACGTTTTTCCATAAAAGTAATTTAAGACAAGAAATTCAAATTTTGATAACATTGAGATGCCAAAAGATAATGTGGATCATTGCATTAGGGTCAGGAAGATGATAAAATGATTGCATCTAAGACCAGCGGGAAGCATGAAGATGGTAGAATAGTAATTCAGAGACCAGGTATGTGGAGGAAGGAAGGAGATCCTGGGAATTATTAAACTAAGGCAACCTTACAGTTTTGCTTACCATTGGTTCTACTCAGCTCTAACATATCCTGGGCATGTACCATCGCCTGTTCTGACCTGTCAGTGTCCTTGTGGTATCCACTGTTAAATATTCTGCTTCTTCTTAGAACTCACATGGTACCTGTGGTTCATGTGGTACCTCCTGTTAAATATGCTAATTATATTCCACACTTATATTTAAATTAAATTATTCATGTTAAAACAAAGCATTTTAAAGTACTATTATCTCTCCGATTCAGTCTTTATTTTTTTTAACTCTTTCAAATTCTCATTTGATTGGAAGAAATTATAGAGTAAAGCTCACTACCCTGACTGGCTTTAGTTTCTTAGTCCATCCAATCTTTTCTTCCTAGAGCCTGGTTCGTTTCTCTGTTTCACAGTTCATTGAAGCCCTTTGTGGTCACCGAGTACCATCCATCTTATTTTGGGTTGACTTTGTGAATCTCACACATTTAGAGTAGGTGATAAGGATAAGTGGAATGTGGAAACAAAGGTCTCACACTGGATAGGCAGGTGACACCTAAAAGTAGATTTGACAAAAATGAAAGGGGACAACTTTGGAAGTGATAGATATGATGAATACAACACATTCTGTGACCTTGCAAAGAAAATAGTCACTTTTCTTTTTTTTTTTTGCAGTACAAATAACATTGATGTACATTTTCAGAATCTTATATTTTTACTGAGTTAATACATGTCAGCATCTTTTAAAATATATTTGGTTCCATGTGAGTACTTGAAGTTAATTTTTTCCCAGCTCATCACCTGTGCTCCTTCATATCTTTCCCTGCTTTCCAACTCTATTATAATTTTATCTTCCTCCTTTCATCTCTCTGACTTGTATAACTTCTGATTGCGTCTCTTTGGTTTTGTGTTTTATACTTAGCACTCATTTAAGGCTGTTAATCTTCAAAGCTCCTAGAGAGCATTACCTAATTAAACTTCCCCATAATATTGTAAAGAAAGTCATTATTAGAATTTCTACTTTTTACATGTGGGAAAAATAAGGCAGAGGTTAAACAGCTTACCAAAAATCATAGTGAGAGCGAGTTGCAGCTTGTCCTGAGACTGCTGTGCACAATCTATTTGATCACGTTGCTCTGTTTTTTTTTTTTCCTTTTCATATCTTTTCTCTGGTGTTCTCTAGTATAATTTGTTTCATTTAATGTTATAAATTTTAATTCTTTATATTTTAAATCTCTCACAATGAACAGTAAATTTCCTTCCTTTAATAATATTTTTCTGTTAATTATTTTTCATTTTTTCAGTACTAGTTTTTGGCTTATCTTATTTTTGTGTTTATTCTGAATTTTCTAAGTCTTTCACAATGTCTTCCATATTCTTTTTAATCTGTTCACAATTTTACATTAATACAATACTTAATTAGCTAATCCACTATTAAAATGGAAAAGGCAACAGCTTTAAAAATCGTAATTCAGATTGAATAATTACTCTCATTATTTTTCTATAGAAGTTGGTCAAATAAATCAATGCCTCTGATTTATGATATCTTTATATATTAGAAAAATAGAGGCGGGGCGCGTGGCTTACGCCTTTAATCCCAGCACTTTGGGTGGCCAAGGTGGGCGGATCACAAGGTCAGGAGATTGAGACCATCCTGGCTAACATGGTGACAGCCTGTCTCTACTACAAATACAAAAAAATTAGCTGGGCATGGTGGCTCCCGCCTGTAGTCCCAGCTACTCAGAAGAAGGCTGCGGCAGGAGAATCGCTTGAACCCAGGAGTTGGAGATTGCAGTGAGCCGAGATCACGCCACTGCACTCCAGCCTGGGTGACAGAGCAAGACTCCATCTCAAAAAATAAAAATAAAAAATAAAAAGAAGAAAATGAAAGGAAGGGGAGGGGAGGGGAAGGAAGGGAGGGGAAGGGAGGAGAAGGGAGGGGAGGGGAGGGGGGTGAAGGGAGAGAAGGGAAGGAAAGGGAAGGGAAAGGAGAAATATATTTCACTGCACTGCTGTAAAGATGAAATAGATAACACAAGTAAAGTACCTAGCATAGCTTCTGGACATAGTTCTTTCAGTTTTCTGTCTTCTTTTTAAAAATCTCCATTGTTTTTCTAAATTCAGGTGTATTTTGCATACATTTAAAAGCTAAGATTTTAAGTGTACAGTTTTATAAGTTTTGACAGATGTAAACTATATGGCTCAAGATATTTCCATCCTCCCTGAAGGTTTTTCAATGACTGCTTCAAGTCAATACCATCCTTGAGGCAACATTTTTCTGATTATTGTGGTTATTCTAGAATTTCATACAAATAGAATCATCCAGAGTGTATGCTTTTTATCTGTCTTCTTTCTCTCATGTTTATTGTTGTATATTGTGTTAATATTAGTAGTTTTGTCTATTTACCAATGTTTCTAATTTTCCTGTTGATTTAAGTTGTTTTCAATTTGGAGCTGTTTTGAGTAAGGCTTCTAAGTACATTATTGGAAAAAACTTTTTATGAACAAATATTTTATCTGTCTTGTGAAAATACTTAGGAATGGAATTGCTAAGTCATAAAAATAGGTAATGTTTGACACTGTATGATACTGCCAGTCAGTTTTACATAGCGGTTTTACCATTTTACAGTGGGCTAAGAAATGTACGAAGTTCCTGTTGTCCATATTCTTGCCAATATTTGGTAATACTAGTATTTTAAATTTTAGGTATTTTATTAGGTGTATAGTAGTATTTAATTATGGATTTTTTTTGTATTTCTCTAATGATTAATGATGTTGAACAATTGGCCCAATTATTTTTTCTAGAATGCTACAGTTAATGTGTTAGCAATGCTATTATTCCTCAGTAGATTTTTCTTCACATTTAGAATTTTAAATTTAGTTTTATAATATTAACTTTACACAATTTCTTACAATAAAAAGTGTTCTGTCAAAAGCAAGAAAATATATAGTCAACTCTACTATATTAATTCTTAATATGTTCAATATAAAATTGGCAAGAATTATCAATTGTCCTCTTTATGATAAAACAAGCATTGGATTTTTTTCTGCAGATAGAACAATATTTACATTTTTTAGTTTGATGGAAAGATTTTGGTGAAAATGACAAATAAGTCTGGAAAAACTATAATGGAGCAGTTATTTTCTATAACATTATAGAGCAGATTGAAAGGCAAAGCATATCAACAATTTGGAAGCAATATTTTCATGTTTATTAAAACTATATGGATTAAGTAATTTGAGGAAAAATGACTTAGAGAATCAAACTGTAAGTCTGCTTATTAAATGTGACTCATCTGAAGATAGGTATCAGAGAGGAGGGGAAAAAAGATCAGGAACCACTCAACTAGAGTTCAAGTTCCTCCTGAGAATAAATGATCAGCATTTGTATTATACCTTCTCCGACTTTGCATCACCTAGCATATTTTTTATGTGAATAGTAGATAAAAAACTATGGTTTTTCTAGTTGTGACTACTAAAGTGCACTTCAAATGTTTTTCTTAAACACACTTTCTTTGAACTTCTTTTTCCACTTGTCATTTATCACTCACTTTAGAAAATACTGAAATATGAGAGTTGTTTTTTAAAAAAGGTTAAAAGTATATATGTCACAGAGTAAATTTCTGCACATGGTATATAGCTGATTGCTTTTGGGCTTTTCAGGCTGATAACAGCATAGTTGACCGTGCTATCAATCTCAGCTACATAAACTACTGAACCAAGGCCGCTGTTGGTGATATTATTGACTTCTCAATTAGTAGCTTTAAAGAATGAGAAAAATAAAATGTCCATAGGCCAATTAGTCCTTTGATTCTATGACTTGAGATGGCTACATTATATAAGCTATCTGCCTTTCTGCAATAGATAGATGACAAGTAGATAGAAAGAAAGATAGACAGCTAGCTAGCTAGATAGATAGATACAGATACATAGATATAATAAAAAAATAAATAGAGACTGTTCTCCCTTAGTAACTATATTTGGATTCTCATAATTAATAATATAAAAATATTATATTAATTGATTATCTAAAATTTCCAAACCTTCAAAATATTCCAGACACTGAACTCAAAATTAAGTTGAGAATAGGACTAATCAGAGATAATCTATGCCTGAATATCCAGCTTTTTCATCCTGATTTCAGAGTAGTTGTTTTGGGTGCATATGAGTGTGAGAGTGTGTGTGTGTGTGTGTGTGTTGCCCATTACAACAGACTAGGAAACAGATACAACCCCAGGACAAAACCTTTGGAAAACAGCAGCCGTGGAAAACAAGAGTAAATTTTGTGGTTGATCAAGGTTAGAATGCTGGTAAAGTTTTCAATAATACACTATCTTAGTTTAAGTTATCTCAAAGCAAACTATGAGGTGGGGATTGATGTACAAGTGTTTTATTAAAAAGGTGCTCTCAGGATAAGCCAGTAAGAGAGTGGAGGAGGACAGTGAAGGAAAAACCAAGCAAGGGTGTGATTGTAGATTATTCCACTTTCAATTACCAGGCTAACCTACAAGGGGAATCCTGGAGTTTATACCTCAGTTTGAGGAATTAATTTGAGGAAATTACACCTTAGTTTGCCACCTGTGAGTCAATAAAGTTGGTCATTCATACTCCTGTATAGGTCAGTCACTGGCTATGAAGCTGCCTCAAGGAAATAAACATTTTACTACTTCCATCCTCTGGAATCCACAAAGTTACTCTTCTAATCTATTAATATTCCCTAAGTAAGGACACCAGAAAACAGAAAAGCGAAAAACTTTCCAGACTATAATAGAATAAAATTAAGTCTGCAAAACTGTTTCTGCCCCTGGCCATTACATACATTTTATATATTTCTGACATTTATGTTGGTCACAGACATAGAAAAACATAAAAACAACAATATGTGGGACAAGGCAAATATTTCACTATCAATTTTCAAAAAGCCTAAAACTAAGCAAGTCTGAAAATACATTCCCTGGTTTTGTGTTTAGCAATAAAAAAGGAGGGGTTACTTTATTCTAGGTTTGAAGCTTTTGGTCTTTCCCAAAAGATAACTAATGATTCTGTGAGTTTTGCGGAAAAACAAACAAACATACTCTTTACAAAGCCATTAGAAGCAAAGCACAAAAAAGCTGAGGGTAGATTCAGAGAACTACAAAAATAATCCAAAGAGGTCCAGGCAGGGCACTAACAGTTCTCAGTATAACTCTCAATTTGGAAAGAAGCAGACTTAGCAGTTTTAGAGGCATCCTGGAGTGTTGGGGGAGTACTGGGAAAATTTACTAAAGTGAAACTTCCCTATTCTACCAAACTTGTCAGAGAAGGGAGAGATAACTTTAGTTTTTTTACCATTTATCTCTGTGCATATTGGGAGAAAAACAGAAAGAAAAAGCAGAATAATCATAATTATACAGTGCTAATTACCCCAGTAATAGAGACTTTGTGGAACATAAGAGAAATGCTAAAATGAAGAGACCACAAAAGTTCAGGTGAAACTGCCCTTCCCTTCCAACCAGCGTACTATGAAATATCTGGTGAAAACTTAATGGCTACATAGAAGCGAAGAAGGGTAGAAACAACTACTATGAAGGGATAGAACATACCACTGAACATACCACTCCTGTATTGTCTATAATAGTAATAGACATACCACTACCAAGTGAGAACTATCCAAAGAATGGGATTTTATCATATCTTTTATTATTATAGACAATATAGGAGTAGGATGGTGTCTTACAATATTAATTTAAATGGCTATATGTACATTCATATACAGGATTTAAACTAAAAGATAAGATGCTTAAAATAATTATGCAAGATGTCTCTAACAGTTTAGGCTGCTATAACAGAATATCACAGAGAGGGTGGCTTAAACAATTTATTTCTCACAGCTCTGGAGGCTGACAATCTGAGATCAAGATTCCAACATGGTTATTGTATTAGTCTGCTTTCATGCTGCTGATCAAGACATACCCAAGATGGGGCAATTTACAAAAGAAAGGTTTAATGGACTTACAGTTCCACGTGGCTGGGGAAGCCTCACAATCATGGTGAAAGGCAAGGAAGGGCAAGTCATATCTTATATGGATGGCAGCAGGCAAAAGAGCTTGTGCAGGGAAACTCCCATTTTTAAAATTATGGAACATCTTGTGAGACTCATTCACTATCATGAGAACAGTGCAGGAAGACCCACCCCATGATTCAATCACCTCCCACCAGGTTCCTCCCACGATACATGAGAACTGTGGGAGTTACAATTCAAGATGAGATTTGCGTGGGGACACAGCCAAACCATATCATTCTGCCCCGGCCCCTCCCAAATCTCATATCCTCACATTTCAAAACAAATCACGCCTTCCCAACCGCCCCCCAAAGTCTTAACTCATTTTAACATTAACTCAAAAATCCACAGTCCAATATCTCATCTGAGACCCAGCAAGTCAATTCTACCTGTGAGCCTGTAAAATCAAAAGCAAGTTAGCTACTTCCTAGATACAATGGTGGTGCAGGCATTGAGTAAATACAGCTGTTCCAAATAGGGGAAATTGGCCAAAACAAAGGGGCTACAGGCCCCATGCAAGTCTGAAGTCCAGCAGGGCAGTCAAATCTTGAAGCTCCAAAATGATCTCCTTTCACTCCAAGTCTTACATCAGGGTCACACTGATGCAAGAGATGAGTGCCCATGATCTGAGGTACATCCGCCCCTATGGCTTTGCAGGGTACAGCCTTTCTCCTGGCTGCTGTCACAGGCTGGCGTTGAGTGTCTGGGCTTCTCCAGGTGCACAGTGCAAGCTGTCAGTAGATCTACCATTCTTGGGTCTGGAGGACGATGATCCTCTTCTCATAGCTCCACTAGGCAGTGCCTCAGTAGGGACTGTGTGTGGAGGCTCCAACCCCACATTTCCCTTCTGCACGCCCTAGCAGATGTTCTCCATGAGGGGCCAGCCCCGGCAGCAAACTTATTCCTAGACATCCAGGCATTTCTGTATATCCTCTGAAATCCAGGCAGAGGTTCCCAAACCCGAATTCTTCACTTCTGTGCACTCACAGGCTCAACACCAAGTGAAATCTTCCAAGGCTTGGGGCTTGCACCCTTTGAAGCCATGGCCTGAGCTCTACATTGGTGCCTTTCAGCTATGGCTAGAGTGGCTGGGATGCAGGGCACCAAGTCCCTAGGCTGCACACAGTGCTAGGACCCTGGGCCTGGCTCATGAAACCACTTTTTCCTCCTAAGGCTCTAGACATGTAATGAGAAGGGCTACCAGTAAGGTCTCTGACGTGCCCTGGAGACATTTTCTCTATAGTCTTGGGCATTAACATTTGTCTCCTCATTACTTATGCAAATTTCTGGAGCCAGCTTGAATTTTTCTCAGAAAATGGAATTTTCTTTATTATTGCATTGTCAGGCTGCAAATTTTCTGAGATTTTAATGCTCTGCTTCCCTTTTAAAGCTGAATTCCTTTAACAGCACCCAAGTCACCTCTTGAATGCTTTGCTGCTTAGAAATTTATTCTACCACATACCCTAAATCATCTTTCTCAAGTTCAAAGTTCCACAAATCTCTAGAGCAGGGACAAAATGCCACCAATCTCTTTACTGAAACATAACAAGAGTCACCTTTGCTCCAGTTCCCAACAAGTTCCTCATCTCCATCTGATACCACCACAGCCTGGAAGTTATTGTCCATATCACTATCAGCATTTTGAGCAAAGCCATTCAACAAGTCTCTAGGAAGTTTCAAACTTTCCCACATTTTCCTGTCTTCTTCTGAGCCTTCCAAACTGTTCAAACCCTTTCCTGTTACCCAGTTCCAAAGTTGTTTCCACATTTTCAGGTATCTACAGCAGCACCCCACTCTACTGGTACCAATTTACTGTATTAATCCATTTTTCATACTGCTGATAAAGACATACCTGAGACTGGGCAATTTGCAAAAGAAAGAGGTTTCATGGACTTACAGTGCCATGTGGCTGGGGAAGCCTCACAATCATGGTGGAAGGCGCAGAGGGGCAAGTCACATCTTACATGGATGGCAACAGGCAAAGAGAGGTTGTGCAGGGAAACTCCCATTTTTAAAATGATCAGATCTCATGAAACTCATTCACTATCACAAGACCCACCCCCACAATTCAATCACCTCCCACCACATTCCTTCCACAACACATAGGAATTGTGGGAGTTACAATTCAAGATGAGATTTGGGTAGGGACATAGCCAAACCACATCAGTTATGTTCTTGGTGAGGGCCCTCTCTCTGGTTATGTCCTCACATGACTTTCTTTGATGCATACATGCAAAGAGAGAGAAAGGGAGAGCAAGAGAGAGTTGCCCATGTTCCCTCCTCTTTTTATAAGACTATGAATCCCATCATGAGGGTCCCCTCCTTGTGACCTCATCTAAACCTAATTACCTCTCAAAGTTCCCACCTCCAAATACCATAAAATTAGGGGTTAGTATTTCAACATGTGAATCTTAGGAAGACACAAACATTCAGTCCAAAACATAATACCTAGAGGCAAGTTTACTGTGAAGGTAATGGAACTTAAACTTCAGTGTCCTCACTTGTATGAGTTCACTTCAGAGTTTTAGGAAAGACTTCAGTAGTATATTCACATGGATATTTACTTTTGTAAAAATTTTTAAAAATAAGATTTTAACTCAATTGGTTGTGTACAGTATCTCAATGGTAAATTGTACTTGGTTTTCACCACTCTGTCTCTTCTGATACATTAGAATGGGCATGAGCATTTTAGAATCTGGAGAATAAACTTGGAGGCACATAATGTTTGGATTTATTGTATCTACTTACATGAACTGCAGCTATTTTCCTGTGTAGTTAAGTTATTGCTAGTCATTCTGGTGTAAGAATGGCTTCCAGAAAAATCCCTACACTAATGTGGTATTTCATCTATTGTTAAGACATAAAGGTACAGATGTGATGTTGTATCATAATATAAATGTTACTTATGGCACTTAGTCCTGGAAGTGTGGTTTAGTTGAGGAGAAACAAGATTTGACATGTGTGGGGCCAATAGCTAGTCTATGGAAATTTCTCCCAATCATTAAACTTGTAAAATTGTAAGAAAAGCAATTGGTCCATATGTATTTCTGGCTGAAACTATCAACCATTAAAAAAAGACTACTTTAGATTAACTATGCTAGGAAAGATGGATTAATATATTCTTCACTCTAAAGAAAATATTACAAAATTGTCATCATACAAATAAGTAATCAAATGATATTTAGCCAAAATTTTAGGATAAGCTTATTATCTAAATATGTTAATTAATTTTTTTAATTAGTTAATTTAAAGAATGTTACATTATATTTCTGAATTTTGTGATGCATATGATGTTTTTCTGCCTTTGGAGCATGAGATTTGTTCTGATTTATTTTGTTGACTCTAATTGTATATCCACTTTCATACCTAATTATATATTTCCAAGTTTGGATCTAACCCTGGTAAAACCGTTATAGAAAGAAAATCCCTTAATAAAACAATGCTAGCAAATGGGAACAATACAAGAAAATTCAGGTACTACATTTTTGAAAAAGATAATTGAATATTAAAAAAGGTCAGTTCTACTTGAATTTATCTATAAATTGAATAGAATTTCATCCCAGTTACTAAAAGGATTTTTAATTTGACAAAAATATATTAGGTTATATTTGAACATTAAACATATGAAATCAGTAGGAACATCATAAAATGAGAAGTGTACAGAACCAGGGAGATAAATCTTACCAGATAATTTACTCATATTTTGAATCTATGTTAATCAAAATCTTTTGGTCTAGAAATAATTAGAAAGATAATAAATCCATCAAGCAGAATAGGTTCCAGATATAAACTAAAAAGTGTGATTTTAATTTATGATGGGGTTAATTTCAATGTAGGATGAAGAGGTAACAAATGACATGGGAGAACTTGCTGATCATGGGGCAAATTATAAATCATTATTCCTAACTTTGCATTACATCAATATAAATTCAAAATACATCAAATCTTCAAACCTGACCTTAAATTTCAATAACAAGGAGTGGCACCATCCTAGCAGATATCTTGGATATCAAAGGACAGTTGGTAGCTGTACCTGAGAAGTGTGAATGTACGGTTGCATGGCTTAGAATTAGGGAACATTACAAACCACAAGTTGATCAATTGATAAATACTTTCACTGTAATCAAATTCTGTTGAATATATTTTGTTATTACCCATAGACTGGTACACATATATTTTTTTGGCCATCATCCATCAGCTAGACAGCTAAACTATTTTAGTTTAACTAGAATATAAATTTCTCTCTTCACAGCTGCAAAACTTGAAAAGCACTCTTCTAGTATTGCTAGTCATATTAGTAGCATGTATTACAAAAGCAGTAATACTACTGAAAAAATGTTAGAAATTTCTCACATCAACATACCTCAAGCCATCATTGAGTAAAACACACATTTGTATAGTCCCAAATTTTTATAACTATCAGGAGAACTAAGAAGAAATTCAATCACCTCAATCAGTTGGCACTAATTTGTGACTTTGAAATTTTCTTCCATCCATACAGCTGTTTGAGAATCATAACAAACCTTAAACAGTTAATGGAAAAGAAACTTTACAGAAGTCTTGGCCACTCCTCTAGAAACGTGAGAGACCCAAAAAGGGCTGAAACTGACAGGAAAGTATCTTTAACATCTCCACACCTGTGTTTAAGTTATCTTTTTCCTATATGTCTAGCATGCCTTCTCCTAAGTTTTTCCTCACTCTTTTTTTAAACATCTTCTTAAAACACATGTTTAAATATACTGCTTTCTTCCTTAGTATTCTTCAAAGATTTCTCATTGCTCCTCTCAATTAATAAAAATCCTTAATATGACCCACAAGTTCCTATGAAATCTAACTATATACTTAATTTCTGTCCTGTACAATGTGCTGCACTTCTTACATAAAAGCTTCTCATATGCTGTTTCCTCTACCTACAACATCTAACTCTTTCTTTCTCTACTAATTTATATCATCCCACCTTTTAGTTTTTAGTTAAATGTCACACCATCAAGTAGACTTCCCTAAAGTCCAGGATTAGACAGGTTCTCTGTTCTCAATCAGGCCAGCCTCAAAATTTGTGGGGCTGGGAGTAATAATATGAAGGGAAATCCATGTAACAAAAACTGAAATGTTAAAAGTTATAAGCATGCCGGCCAGGCACGTTGGCTCATGCCTATAATCCCAGTACTTTGGGAGGCCGAGGTGAATGGATCAGGTGGTCAGGAGATCGAGACCATCCTGGCCAACATGGTGAAACCCTGTCTCTTCTAAAAATAAAAAAAAAAAATAGCAGCATAGTGGCGTGTGCCTGTAGTCCCAGCTACTTGGGAGGCTGAGGCTGGAGAATTGTTTGAACCCGGGAGGAGGAGGTTGCAGTGAGCCGAGATCACGACACTGCACTCCAGCCTGGGTGACAGAGTGAGAATCCATCTCAAAAAAAAAAAAAAAAAAAAGTTATAAGCATGCCAAAGATACAGATACACAACTGAACGTTTAGCTAAAGTTTGAAGAATTTTGGAGATCATAATGAATTCAGTAAAATTGCATGATACAAAAATCAACATATGAAAATCAGTAGCATTTTTAATACAAGGATAGCAACTTAGCAGAAAAAGAAATTAAGAAAATAATCTCATTTATAATATCATCAAAAAATTATACCTAGAAATAAATTTAATCAAGGAGGTGAAAGATTGTATAGTTGAAAACTATAAAACAGGGGGGAGGAGCCAAGATGGCCGAATAGGAACAGCTCCGGTCTACAGCTCCCAGCCTGAGCGACGCAGAAGACGGGTGATTTCTGCATTTCCATCTGAGGTACCGGGTTCATCTCACTTGGGAGTGCCAGACAGTGGGCGCAGGCCAGTGTGTGTGCGCACCATGCGCGAGCCGAAGCAGGGCGAGGCATTGCCTCACCTGGGAAGCACAAGGGGTCAGGGAGTTCCCTTTCCGAGTCAAAGAAAGGGGTGACGGACGCACCTGGAAAATCGGGTCACTCCCACCCGAATATTGCGCTTTTCAGACCGGCTTAAGAAACGGCGCACCACGAGACTATATCCCACACCTGGCTCAGAGGGTCGTACGCCCACGGAATCTCGCTGATTGCTAGCACAGCAGTCTGAGATCAAACTGCAAGGCGGCAACGAGGCTGGGGGAGGGGCGCCCGCCATTGCCCAGGCTTGCTTAGGTAAACAAAGCAGCCAGGAAGCTCGAACTGGGTGGAGCCCACCACAGCTCAAGGAGGCCTGCCTGCCTCTGGGGGCAGGGCACAGACAAACAAAAAGACAGCAGTAACCTCTGCAGACTTAAGTGTCCCTGTCTGACAGCTTTGAAGAGAGCAGTGGTTCTCCCAGCACGCAGCTGGAGATCTGAGAACGGGCAGACTGCCTCCTCAAGTGGGTCCCTGACCCCTGACCCCCAAGCAGCCTAACTGGGAGGCACCCCCAAGCACGGGCACACTGACACCTCACACGGCAGGGTATTCCAACAGACCTGCAGCTGAGGGTCCTGTCTGTTAGAAGGAAAACTAACAACCAGAAAGGACATCTACACCGAAAACCCATCTGTACATCACCACCATCAAAGACCAAAAGTAGATAAAACCACAAAGATGGGGAAAAAACAGAACAGAAAAACTGGAAACTCTAAAACGCAGAGCGCCGCTCCTCCTCCAAAGGAACGCAGTTCCTCACCAGCAACAGAACAAAGCTGGATGGAGAATGATTTTGACGAGCTGAGAGAAGAAGGCTTCAGACGATCAAATTACTCTGAGCTACGGGAGGACATTCAAACCAAAGGCAAAGAAGTTGAAAACTTTGAAAAAAATTTAGAAGAATGTATAACTAGAATAACCAATACAGAGAAGTGCTTAAAGGAGCTGATGGAGCTGAAAACCAAGGCTCGAGAACTACGTGAAGAATGCAGAAGCCTCAGGAGCCGATGCGATCAACTGGAAGAAAGGGTATCAGCAATGGAAGATGAAATGAATGAAATGAAGCGAGAAGGGAAGTTTAGAGAAAAAAGAATAAAAAGAAATGAGCAAAGCCTCCAAGAAATATGGGACTATGTGAAAAGACCAAATCTACGTCTGATTGGTGTACCTGAAAGTGATGTGGAGAATGGAACCAAGTTGGAAAACACTCTGCAGGATATTATCCAGGAGAACTTCCCCAATCTAGCAAGGCAGGCCAACGTTCAGATTCAGGAAATACAGAGAACGCCACAAAGATACTCCTCGACAAGAGCAACTCCAAGACACATAATTGTCAGATTCACCAAAGTTGAAATGAAGGAAAAAATGTTAAGGGCAGCCAGAGAGAAAGGTCGGGTTACCCTCAAAGGAAAGCCCATCAGACTAACAGCGGATCTCTCGGCAGAAACCCTACAAGCCAGAAGAGAGTGGGGGCCAATATTCAACATTCTTAAAGAAAAGAATTTTCAACCCAGAATTTCATATCCAGCCAAACTAAGCTTCATAAGTGAAGGAGAAATAAAATACTTTATAGACAAGCAAATGCTGAGAGATTTTGTCACCACCAGGCCTGCCCTAAAAGAGCTCCTGAAGGAAGCGCTAAACATGGAAAGGAACAACCGGTACCAGCCGCTGCAAAATCATGCCAAAATGTAAAGACCATCGAGACTAGGAAGAAACTGCATCAACTAATGAGCAAAATCACCAGCTAACATCATAATGACAGGATCAAATTCACACATAACAATATTAACTTTAAATATAAATGGACTAAATTCTGCAATTAAAAGACACAGACTGGCAAGTTGGATAAAGAGTCAAGACCCATCAGTGTGCTGTATTCAGGAAACCCATCTCACGTGCGGAGACACACATAGGCTCAAAATAAAAGGATGGAGGAAGATCTACCAAGCCAATGGAAAACAAAAAAAGGCAGGGGTTGCAATCCTAGTCTCTGATAAAACAGACTTTAAACCAACAAAGATCAAAAGAGACAAAGAAGGCCATTACATAATGGTAAAGGGATCAATTCAACAAGAGGAGCTAACTATCCTAAATATTTATGCACCCAATACAGGAGCACCCAGATTCATAAAGCAAGTCCTCAGTGATCTACAAAGAGACTTAGACTCCCACACATTAATAATGGGAGACTTTAACACCCCACTGTCAACATTAGACACATCAACGAGACAGAAAGTCAACAAGGATACCCAGGAATTGAACTCAGCTCTGCACCAAGCAGACCTAATAGACATCTACAGAACTCTCCACCCCAAATCAACAGAATATACATTTTTTCAGCACCACACCACACCTATTCCAAAATTGACCACATAGTTGGAAGTAAAGCTCTCCTCAGCAAATGTAAAAGATCAGAAATTATAACAAACTATCTCTCAGACCACAGTGCAATCAAACTAGAACTCAGGATTAAGAATCTCACTCAAAGCCGCTCAACTACAGGGAAACTGAACAACCTGCTCCTGAATGACTACTGGATACATAACGAAATGAAGGCAGAAATAAAGATGTTCTTTGAAACCAACGAGAACAAAGACACCACATACCAGAATCTCTGGGACGCATTCAAAGCAGTGTGTAGAGGGAAATTTATAGCACTAAATGCCTACAAGAGAAAGCAGGAAAGATCCAAAATTGACACCCTAACATCACAATTAAAAGAACTAGAAAAGCAAGAGCAAACACATTCAAAAGCTAGCAGAAGGCAAGAAATAACTAAAATCAGAGCAGAACTGAAGGAAATAGAGACACAAAAAAACCCTTCAAAAAATCAATGAATCCAGGAGCTGGTTTTTTGAAAGGATCAACAAAATTGATAGACTGCTAGCAAGACTAATAAAGAAAAAAAGAGAGAAGAATCAAATAGACACAATAAAAAATGATAAAGGGGATATCACCACCGATCCCACAGAAATACAAACTACCATCAGAGAATACTACAAACACCTCTACGCAAATAAACTAGAAAATCTAGAAGAAATGGATACATTCCTCGACACATACACTCTCCCAAGACTAAACCAGGAAGAAGCTGAATCTCTGAATAGACCAATAACAGGCTCTGAAATTGTGGCAATAATCAATAGTTTACCAACCAAAAAGAGTCCAGGACCAGATGGATTCACAGCCGAATTCTACCAGAGGTACAAGGAGGAACTGGTACCATTCCTTCTGAAACTATTCTAATCAATAGAAAAAGAGGGAATCCTCCCTAACTCATTTTATGAGGCCAGCATCATTCTGATACCAAAGCCGGGCAGAGACACAACCAAAAAAGAGAATTTTAGACCAATATCCTTGATGAACATTGATGCAAAAATCCTCAATAAAATACTGGCAAACCGAATCCAGCAGCACATCAAAAAGCTTATCCACCATGATCAAGTGGGCTTCATCCCTGGGATGCAAGGCTGGTTCAATATACGCAAATCAATAAATGTAATCCAGCATATAAACAGAGCCAAAGACAAAAAACACATGATTATCTCAATAGATGCAGAAAAAGCCTTTGACAAAATTCAACAACCCTTCATGCTAAAAACTCTCAATAAATTAGGTATTGATGGGACGTATTTCAAAATAATAAGAGCTATCTATGACAAACCCACAACCAATATCATACTGAATGGGCAAAAACTGGAAGCATTCCCTTTGAAAACTGGCACAAGACAGGGATGCCCTCTCTCACCACTCCTATTCAACATAGTGTTGGAAGTTCTGGCCAGGGCAATCAGGCAGGAGAAGGAAATAAAGGGTATTCAATTAGGAAAAGAGGAAGTCAAATTGTCCCTGTTTGCAGACGACATGATTGTTTATCTAGAAAACCCCATTGTCTCAGCCCAAAATCTCCTTAAGCTGATAAGCAACTTCAGCAAAGTCTCAGGATACAAAATCAATGTACAAAAATCACAAGCATTCTTATACACCAACAACAGACAAACAGAGAGCCAAATCATGGGTGAACTCCCATTCACAATTGCTTCAAAGAGAATAAAATACCTAGGAATCCAACTTACAAGGGATGTGAAGGACCTCTTCAAGGAGAACTACAAACCACTGCTCAAGGAAATAAAAGAGGACACAAACAAATGGAAGAACATTCCATGCTCATGGGTAGGAAGAATCAATATCGTGAAAATGGCCATACTGCCCAAGGTAATTTACAGATTCAATGCCATCCCCATCAAGCTACCAATGACTTTCTTCACAGAATTGGAAAAAACTACTTTAAAGTTCATATGGAACCAAAAAGGAGCCCGCATTGCCAAGTCAATCCTAAGCCAAAAGAACAAAGCTGGAGGCATCACACTACCTGACTTCAAACTATACTACAAGGCTGCAGTAACCAAAACAGCATGGTACTGGTACCAAAACAGAGATATAGATCAATGGAACAGAACAGAGCCCTCAGAAATAATGCCGCATATCTACAACTATCTGATCTTTGACAAACCTGAGAAAAACAAGCAATGGGGAAAGGATTCCCTATTTAATAAATGGTGCTGGGAAAACTGGCTAGCCATATGTAGAAAGCTGAAACTGGATCCCTTCCTTACACCTTATACAAAAATCAATTCAAGATGGATTAAAGATTTAAACGTTAGACCTAAAACCATAAAAACCCTAGAAGAAAACCTAGGCATTACCATTCAGGACATTGGCGTGGGCAAGGACTTCATGTCTAAAACACCAAAAGCAATGGCAACCAAAGCCAAAATTGACAAATGGGATCTAATTAAACTAAAGAGCTTCTGCACAGCAAAAGAAACTACCATCAGAGTGAACAGGCAACCTAAAACATGGGAGAAAATTTTCGCAACCTACTCATCTGACAAAGGGCTAATATCCAGAATCTACAATGAACTCAAACAAATTTACAAGAAAAAAACAAAGAACCCCATCAAAAAGTGGGCGAAGGACATGAACAGACACTTCTCAAAAGAAGACATTTATGCAGCCAAAAAACACATGAAGAAATGCTCATCATCACTGGCCATCAGAGAAATGCAAATCAAAACCACTATGAGATATCATCTCACACCAGTTAGAATGGCAATCATTAAAAAGTCAGGAAACAACAGGTGCTGGAGAGGATGTGGAGAAATAGGAACACTTTTACACTGTTGGTGGGACTGTAAACTAGTTCAACCATTGTGGAAGTCAGTGTGGCGATTCCTCAGGGATCTAGAACTAGAAATACCATTTGACCCAGCCATCCCATTACTGGGTATATACCCAAAGGACTATAAATCATGCTGCTATAAAGACACATGCACACGTATGTTTATTGCGGCACTATTCACAATAGCAAAGACTTGGAACCAACCCAAATGTCCAACAATGATAGACTGGATTAAGAAAATGTGGCACATATACACCATGGAATACTATGCAGCCTTAAAAAATGATGAGTTCATGTCCTTTGTAGGGACATGGATGAAATTGGAAACCATCATTCTCAGTAAACTATCGCAAGAACAAAAAACCAAACACCGCATATTCTCACTCATAGGTGGGAATTGAACAATGAGATCACATGGACACAGGAAGGGGAATATCACACTCTGGGGACTGTTGTGGGGTGGGGGGAGGGGGGAGGGATAGCATTGGGAGATATACCTAATGCTAGATGACACGTTAGTGGGTGCAGCGCACCAGCATGGCACATGTATACATATGTAACTAACCTGCACAATGTGCACATGTACCCTAAAACTTAGAGTATAATAAAAAATAAATAAATAAATAAATAAATTAAAAAAAAAAAAAAAAGAAAAGTAATTAGTACCAGAAAAAAAAAAAAAAAAAAAATTAGTAAAAAAAATTTAAGAATAAAAAAATGAAAAGCTGTCCCATGTTCATAGATGGGAAGAATTCATACTATAAATACTGCCATACTACATAAATCCCTATCAAAAATCCAATGGCATTCTTTATGGAAATAGAAATAAAAGTCCTAAAATTTGTATGAAACCTAAAAAACTCCAAATAGTTAAAACAATACTGAGAAAAAAAGAAACTTGGAGGTATCACACTTTCTGATTGAAAATTATGTTACAAAGTTATAGTAATCAGAGCAGCCTGGTACTAGAATAAACATAGGACAATGGAACACAATAGAGAACCCAGAAATAAATGCAAACATATATGGTCAACTAATTTTTGACAAGAACACCAAGGGATACAGCAGTGAACAGACAGTCTCTTCAATAAAGGATGCTGAGAGAACTAGATTTCCACATGCAAAATAATAAAATCGGACCCTTATATAACAACCTACACAAAAGTCAACCCAAAATGGATAAAAGACCTAAATGTAACACTCAAAACCATAATAATTCTAGAAGAGAATGTAGAGGGAAGCTCCTTTACATTGGCCTTTGCAATAATTTTTTGGATATCACACCAAAAGCTCAGGCTACACAAATAAAAATAAATAAGTTGAACTACATAAAACTAAAATGCTTCTGCACAGCAAGCAAACAACCAAGTCAACCTACACTGGGAAAAAAGTGAGTGTAAATCACATATTTGATAAGAGGTTAATATACAACATTTATAAAGAACTCTTACAACTCAATAGCAGAAATACAAATAATTCAATTTTAAAATGAGCAAGGAAACTGTGTACATAATTCTCTTATAAAGACCCCAAAATAGTCAACAGATCTATTAAAACACATTCAATGTCACTAATCATAAGGGAAATGCAAATTATAACCACTGTGAGGAATCACCTCATGCCTGCAAGGATGGCTATTATAAAAAAAAAGAAATAATAAACGTTATTGAGGGTGTGAAGAAAAGTGAACTCTAGTACACTGTTGGTGGGAATGGAGATTGGTACATCCATTATGACAAACAATATGGAGGTTCCTAAAGAAATCCAAAATAGAACTACCATATGACCCAGCAATTCCTCTTCTGAACACATACCCAAAGTAGATGAAGTCAACACCTTATAAAGATACCTGCACTATCATGTATATTGAAGCATTATTTACAATAGGTAAGATATAAAAACAATCCACCGGTCTATTGACAGATGGATTGATAAATAAAATGTGGAATAAATATGTAACAATATTATTCAATTTTAATGAAGATAGAGATCCTTCCACTTGCCACAATGCAGATGAAACTGGAGGACATTATGCTAAGTGAAATAAGCCAGACAAAGAGAGAAAAACATTGCATGATCTCACTTATAGGTGGAATATAACCCAAAAAAAATAAGCTCAAATACACAAATATTGAGAATGAATGGTTACCATGGGTTGGGTAGAGGAGGGAGAAAAAAATGGTTAGATGTAGGTCAAAGAATATAAACTAGCAAAAATACAGGATAAACAAGTCTAGAGCTCTAGTGTATAACATAAGAACTAAAGTTAATAAAATTGCACTACCTTAGAGATTTTTAATAAATAAGATTTTAGTTGCTCTTATCACAATAAATTAACTATGTGTAATATGTTAATCTGCTTCACTGTAGAAACCATTTTACTGTCTATATGTATCCCATAACAACATATTGTAAACCAGAAAAATATACACAATAATATTTATTTTTTCAAAAATTAGATAATTGTGAAAGTATGGAGATATGTAAGTTTGAGGTGAAGTGGGCTTGGAGCTGTCCTTTCCTAATAACAATGTATCTTCCTGCTTTGCTCTGCTATAATTCTTTTCATCATTGCCATCATTAGAGATGTTGCATCATCTCAGAAGTTTATTTAAAATTAACATTAAGAAATAATTAATTATGTATTATCATACTTGTCATGGTTCTTTCTTTTGGAAGGTAAAACTCAATTCAAAAATTTTTGAGGAAATAGTAAATCCAAGGTCATATTCAAGGTCATTGCTCCTTCAGGCATGTCTAGATCCAGGACCTCAGTGAACCTCACATGGACTTTTATTTATCTTCATTTCTTACAGTTGTTCTTGCATACATTTATTTAACACTTGGTCTTATTTTTCTGCCTTCATGTGTTCTAGAAAGATAATCTTAATTGGATTCAGTAAACGTGATTCAAATTTCTCCTCATTCTAGCAGAATCAGAACAAACGCTTCTAAGACTAATATATCATAGCTTAGGAAACACTCTGACCGTTATTTAAACCCCAGCCCTTTTAGAAATTAATTTTGGCAAGAGTTTTAAGTAAACAGCTGGCTTAAATCACTACTCATCTTTATGTTGCAGATGGCTGTACCATGACTAATATACCCCAATGTAAAGATCTGGTAACACTCTGATTCACTTACTTGGATCAGCCACCATTTACCCTTGTAGTAAAGATGGAATACAATGAGTGACCTTTCAAAATGGTATTGGGATAGTAGGTTTCCCAAAGGCAAGAGCAATAGAAAGACAAAATTCATACACTATTTCACTGAAGCTAGAATTCCATCAATGATAGGAAACACTACCATTTATGTAATACCAATAAATAAAAGATGCTGCTAATGAAAATATTACACTATCCTTCCACTTGTAGTTTCATTTTATATTAAAATAGATTTTTAGACATAATAATGTTATGCTTTCACTTACATAAGAAGGAAAATATAAGTGAAATATATTTGTTAAAATGTCATTAAAATACTTCAACATTCCGTGTCTAACTCTTCTGAAACTCTTCAACTTAGAGTGTGCATGTGTTTATGTGTGTGGGTGTGTATGTGTTTTCACATATTATTCTCTGCCAGCAGGAGTTTTAGAATTACAGCATTTCTTAAAAGAGTGTTCATCATTGTATCTGAAATTTTCTTCCAAACTAGCTATACTTACTCTGCAAGTTTTGATGGACTGTGCAGACAAAATGGTGCTTCATGACTGCCACAGAAAAATAGCAATTAAAAGATCCATCCCAAATCGAAATGTTAAATGTTAAAATGTGACAAATTTGCATATTAGGATTTGTAAAATATATTACACTTGTTTAGTGATTGTTTTTTGTTTTTTCTTGTGTATTTTGTTTCAGTGAATGAGTGTATATATTTTTATGAGTATTTTATATATACATATACAATTTATTAATTTGCTCCAGTAAACTTATTTTCCCATATGGTTTCTCTCATTTCTAAGGTTTTCAGAAATCTAATTCTAGGAGTTGGGTAGAGATTGCTTAAGTAGTAAACATTTTTGAACTGACACAATTCATAATAACATAAAAAAAATAGATTAGCAGAGTCCAACATTGCAATAACAAAATAATTGGCTACAGTAATGAATATAGTTACGTCCTTCTCAATATGAATTCTGAAAAATCAGCTTATGTTCTGATGTATGTAGAATAATGTTCCCCCAAATATGTCCATGTCCTAATCCCTGAATCCTGTGACTATATTATGGTACAGAGCAAAGGAGAATTAAGGTTGCCGGGAGAAATACAGTTTTTAATTAGCTGAACTTAAGATGAGCATATTATTTTGAATTATCTATCTGGGTGAGCCCAATGTAACCACAGTGATCCTTATAAGTGACAGAGGGAGACAGAAGAGTCAGTGTTACTGTAAGACACAGAGTGAAAAAAACTCAACTGGCCATTAGTGGTTTTAAAGATAGAAAATAATTATGAGCCAAGAAATGTGGGTGGCCTCTAGAAGGGGAAAAAGGCAAGGAAACAGATTCTTTCCTACAGCCTCTAGAAGAAATGCAGCCTTGACAACATCTGTACTAGTCTGTTCTCACATTGCTACAGGGAAATACCTGAGACTGGATAATTTATAAAGAAAAGAGGTTTAATTGGCTCACGGTTCTACAGGTGCTATAGAAAGCATGAAGCTGGCATCTGCTTGGCTTCTGTGAAGGTGTCAGGAAACTTATAATCATGGTGGAAGGCAAAGAGGGAGCTAAACATTCCAGATGGTGGGAACAGTAGCAAGAAGTGTAGGGAGGTGCTGCATACTTTTATACAACCAGATCTCATGAGAACTCACTCACTATTGCAAGGACAGTACCAAGAAGGATGGTGCTAAACCATTCATGAGGAATCTGCCCTCATGATCCAATCACCTTCTACAATGCCCCATCTACAACATTGGCAATTACAATTTTACATGAGATTTGGTGGGGACGTGGATCCAAACTATACCAACATCTTTCTTTTTTCCCAGTGGGACCAATCCAGATTTCAGACCCCCAGAAGTGTAAGACAATGAATTCATGTTGTTTTCAACCACGAAGTCTGTTGCAATTTTTTACAGCAGCAACAGAAAACTGATGTAATTTTTAAGCTTACTTTTCCACTCTTAAGGGTGATGCTGTTAATTAGTATATACATGTCATTTGAATTTCATAAACCAAAATTTTTTTGCAATTTCATGTGTCTACAGAAATATCTCAATGTAAGCCATGAGCAAAACTTGATTCTTCTAAGAATTGAGAGAGGAAAAAAATATCTATCTTGATATCAGGCTAACTAGTTTTATTTTTATAATTGAAATGGCGGGAAACACTCAAATCTTCCTGAGAATTCTCTTGATTGGATAAATCACAGGTTGGTTAATTTGTCAGGCTACCTTTCCAGAGAATCAAGGATCTTATTACTATGAATCTGTTCAGCAAGAACCATTGCCAGTAATCAAATACCAAGACACGTTCTGACAGTGGTAATTAATAATACAGATTTGTTTATTGGCCTGTAAAATTGTCAGAGTATGTGTTTCCTATTGCAAAGGCATATTTTAAATGAACACACACACAAAACAACCCATGACAAAGAGTATCATCAAGCATTATATAATATGTAATGATTTGTTGGGAGGTGATTTTCACTATTTTTAAAATAAATTTAGCTTGTATCTTCCAGATTACAAAATCAAAAAAGGACACATGGGAACAGGAGCAAAGTAATGTTGTATTCTTTTTCAAACAGATTCTTTTTCATGGCTTGTCACAGATGCTGGGAATATAATAAGCAATAGAAATAGTTAATATAAGGAATCAATATTCTCACTATAATTCTGACTAAAAATTAACATCTATCTCTTCTCTCATTAGCAGTCCTGATGCTTCTATGACAGTGTGTTTTCAGACTGAAAGATGATGTGATACTGTTTATCATTAGCCCATGTACTCTAAAATATTCAGTGACCAACAATTGCACAGTAAATGGCAATATAATTCCCAGAAATGGGGCAAGGTTGGGGGCTGGAAACTGGGTTCAGGAAATGAATTTGCAGATGTTGTGTGCTTCTTAGCAACAGTTTCCATAGTTATCCAAAACACAGCACTGTCTCCCCTGCACTGTTTACCTCTCATTAAACATAATTTTACTCAACAGCAAAGACTAATAAAGGAAAATCCTTGCATGAACTCCTTGAATGCCTTTGGCATTTTCTCAGTAGCCAGTTACTGTAAGAATTGTACAGTCATAGTGAACAATCTTAGAGTGTCCAAAAAAGGTAATTATTTATTATTACAATTATAGTGGGTCAATTGAGTGAAATGTAGAGCTGTAACTTTTACAGATTTACTACAGAACCTTATAGAAGGTAACTTTGCTTTATCTTATCTAAAAATTCCTTTCTATTTATTGTCATCTATTATAGCACAGGTAATAAGACTTTTCTAGAAGGAAATTGTTTTATTAATAAGCTTTTAAAATGGAAAAATAATGGCAACTGCTGTATGGTGAAATAATCTGTGATTATGCAAAAATTAGGCACAAATGTAACCTTTGACTATCGTATTATAATTCAGCATTTTAAAACACATATATAAACCAATTACATGTGTGCTAGTACATTTTTATATTTCTCTGCAAGTTATATTAAAACTGTTGTCTTTAACAGACATATTAAAGCTTGTTGTCACCTCTCCTAATACAGTCCCCAATACATGTCTATCATTCAATAAATATATATTAATGAGTAAAATTTACCTCCTGCATAATTTAAGGTTTATTCCCTAAATTCTTCACTCTGCATTGAAAAATTGCACTTTTCCTTTGATGCATTCTGTTACTGACCAGTCCACTACAGTCATGAAATAATGAGGTACTTACTTCCTAGGACACACCTAAGCTTGCCTTCCTTGGGCAAGAATTGACTCATGCACTGAAGTTTTTTCTCAATCTCTATGCTTTTTCAAAACCAACCAGCCCTGCATTCCACTATTCAAAATGTTTTCTCATTTTAGGTGAAAACTATCTAATCCTGTGTACAATTTCATGTTCATCAGTGGATGATTATAGCTTAATATCCCACCTTGTCCAGGATGATATCTAGGTAAATGTTACCAGGGCTCTGCTGAACATAAATGATAATAGAAGGAGTAATAGTAATAAAAATAATAATAGCTAAAAATTATGCCTTGGCTTTCATTGCCAAGCAGTAAACTAAGGACCTCACTTGTATGCTCACACATATTTCTCACATCTCCCCATGAAATCTTCACTTTTATTCACCCCATCAGTCTTACAGAGGAAGCAGCACAGAGTCAGAATGTTTAAGAAACTTGTCAAAACTTGCTCAGACTGAGCATATAGTACTGAAGATGAAAACCTTAAACTTCTGATTCCAGCGCTTTAGAATTTAACCTTAATCTTTTGCTTGCTCCCTGTTTTAATCCTCAAGAATGATTTAAATTGGACATGTCTATCACCTTAGTAATCTAGTGATAGAGATTCTGAGGCAGATACGTCGTTAACACAAAATCATGCCATGTTGTCCATTAGGTATTGTCCAGTAGATTTGGCTGGTACCCAATTTCCAGGAAATTTAACTTTTGTTGAATTATTCGAAGTGATGGACATGTTAATTAGCTTGATCCAATCATTCCACGTTATATACATATATCATATGTATGTAAATATATACAATTATAATTTATCAATATTCAATTACATTTAAAAAAAGAAAAAATCACAATCACAGGAAAATAATTGTAAATGAGCCAAGATATTTGCTTGGAGTCAGTTATCTATGAAAATAGTCTCTGTTAACTTTAAAAATCAGTTCCACCAAACTACACTGCATGTAACAGATAATCCACAGTTAATGATCAATAACATTATCTGGTTGCTTGCAGATTCTGATTTCCTCACATTTGTCCAGCTTCTGATTTTAAAAGGGATTTGTCTTTCTATTTAGTGAAGCAATATGTGGAAAACTATTTTGTAAATCAATTTCTCAGCTCTTTCCTCCTGCTGGAGATGTAGCTTTTAAGGGCATATGTGAAATATTGGACTTGCTTTTCATTATCACCTGCTAATTACCAACTGTGAAGAATGTATTACCTGATAATGACACATGGTAAAACTTTGATCAAAGCTTTCCCTGGTACACAGAAGTAACAGTGTGAATGTCTTTGTTTTCAGCGACTACGTTGTCACAAAAGGGGGAAAATTTTAGAGGCATCTAATTCCATAAAACCACCATTTCCTCTGTATACCCCCCAAAAATATGTAAGAATCTATTTTTTTCATCTATGAGATCATGAGGGGAAAAATCACCTTCATATGGAATCATTAACAATGTGAAGTAATTAAATAGACATGCCTTTAGAAAATGCTGGGCTGTTTAATTACATTAGCCAAAGATCATGAGACCCTCTCTGCATGGTATTCACACCTGTTGCAGGCTGCATATATTTATGCCTAAGTTAACATACATGGTAAGATGCAACATGCTTGTGCCAAAAGATGTTTTACGGAGACACACATCCATATGTGGGTATTTGACTCCAAACATGGTAGCAGCTACAGAAAATTTTACTCTACTTTCAAAATTACCTAAAGAGAGTCTAGTAAATTCAGATCAAAATGTAAAGAAAAATTTAACATAAGGCCCTAACTAAATCTGAACTGACAGTTTAGAACAGTGAAGAGGCTATAGTAACATACTAGGAAAAAAATGTGGTGTTGGTGTTTGTAAAGTTTATCATAAGTTAATCATGTTTTTTCATGAATTATTCAACTACTAAAGCAAAGATATTTCAATAATAACTATTTTTAGTGAAACAAACCAAAAGAAGGATTACCATAATTTCACATTTTTATCAACTTGGAAATTTCTTATATGTTAGAGTAAGCATTATTCTCCAAGAAAGAATAAATACCACATGCCACTACACTCTAGCCTGCGTGACAGAGCCAGATGCTGTCTCTAAAAAGAAAAGAATAAGACCCAGAGTTACCTAAATTAAAAAATAAAATCCCCTCCCTCTCAGGCCCAGAATGTGACTCACTGGATACTGCTACGCTCTTGCATCATGTGGCTATGCATATTTACTGCAGGATTCGTAAAACTAAAGCTGTTTCTCAAGCTGAAGAGCTTTCAGTAATAGAAATGTTTGTCCTCTGATATAAACTCTGTGGAAGAGGGAATGCCAGTGAAATCTACAAACTTATATGTTATTATTATTCTCCAGGTGTTTGTAGACCTGGGCTGTGTGGAGAATCTGTAAATTGTATGTTTTTGCTTTCTCACTTCTTTCTAGGTATGGCTCTCTCTTTTCTAGAAAGTAGTTTCATCATTGTGAAAATAAATGAAATCTAAAAACTGTTTGAACCCCAAAACACTTGAAACCTTGAGAGAGATGTGACTGTGAGCTGAGTCACATAACATGTTTGCAAATCTGCTTCTTAGGTTATAGCTTAACTCTCTTCCTCATTGTTCTTGTTCTGTAAATGACTAGAAAAGACCAGAGACAGAACTTCTATATCCAATCACTGATCTTTGTTATAGATTAACCACTTGCTTTATTGTCCTTTACCTAACTCAGATCAGATGGCACCCAAACAGGGTGTAGTGTAGAATGTTAAATATACCTTTCCTAAAAAACAATAAAAAATATAACTTTGCCTAATCAGATTGCGATAACTATGTATTAAGCCTTACATAAAAATATATTGAAATTCTGTTAAACTTCCATTAAAGTTTCTTGAACTTTGCCTATATAAATTGTTAATCAAAAATAAAATTCTAAGCCCTTCAACTATGTGAATGGACCCTTCCTCTTGGCAAAGGGCATTCCAAAGATAACCTGAAAAACTAGCCATGATGGGAAGAGGGGGTCAGAAATAGCTTATTATACCTTCTTCCCTTTTGGAGTTACTAATAGAACAGACTCTTTAAGCCTGAAAAGAAACACTTACAATTTTTTCTTTCTGAAGCCTGCTACCTGGAGGCTTTGCCTGCACAATAAAACCTTGGTCCTTGGTTTCCACAACCCCTTATCTTAACCCAGACTTCCCTGAGTATTTATACAACAACTTAACTCTTTCAACCAATTGCCAATAAGAAAAATCTTTGACTCTACTTAAGATCTGAAAGCCCCCACTTCCAGATGTTCCACTTTTCTGAACCAAACCAATGTACAGCCTGCATGTATTAATTGATGTCTTATGTTTTCCTAAAATACATAAAACCATGTTTTGGCCTCACCACCTTAAGCACATGTTCTCAGGATCTCCTAAGGGCTGTGTTATGGGCTACTGGTCTGTCATATTTGGCTCAGAATAAATCTCTTCAAATATCTTACAGAATTTGATTTTTTCATCAACAAAATTATCCAAAATTTCTATTTTTTGGAACACTGACTTCCATTCTTTGGATCTGTGCTTTCCTGGATGGCCCACCTTCAACCTTTTTGCTAGAATATACCCTTTAAACCAGATTCTTGCCTTTTTAATTTTTTAGGTTGACATTATTATTCCATTTAAATGCAAAGAACCTCTATCAGATGAAAGTAACCTCTCTCTTTTCTTATACTATTTCTTATTTGAGTCATTTTCTGTTAGTTTCTCTCTCTCCTCCATAATCTGTGACCACTCATAGTTTTATAGGTGATACGTATTTGCATTAAACTTTTCAATCTAAAATAATCTACATCAGTACTTTTCAGCTTTCTAATATTTTAACAAGCATCAGCATGGAGGGCTTGATTAAATTCAGCTTACTTGGCCCCTCATTCAAAATTTCTGATTTAGTAGATTTGAGGTAGCTCCTGAGAAGCTGCATGTCTAACAAATTCACAACTGATGCTAATGTTGCAGGTCTTGGACCACACATTGAGAACCACTGCTTTAGCATAATAGCATATTTCCCTAACAGAAGAGGTACACAACTTTGACCAATTTTCCTATTCAATGAATTTTTCAGACTCCATTAGGCACTACTTTTAGGTGAAAATGGTGGGAATGCTTAAAGGTGTAAAATAAAAAATATGTATATTGCAACAAAAGAGTTATTGAGTTAAATTTAGGCTTGTTTCATCAATATAACCATAAGCCAAAATACATCTTTTTCCTGTATTCAATGAGTAGAATAAGATTCTACTAAGATTCTTCTAATCAGATTCTATAATAGTCTTTTCTTCCATCCAGTTTTGTACATATATGAAACAACATCATTGTCATCATTTAATTTTTTTTATTCCCAACTTTTAAGTTCATGGGTACATGTCAGGATGTGCAGGTTTGTTACATAGGTAAACGTTTGCCATGATGACTTTCTGCACAGATCATCCCAGCACCCAGGTAGTAAGCCCAATATCCACCTGCTATTCTTCCTAATCCTCTCCCTCCTCCAATCCACTGCCCTCCACAGGCCCCAATGTGTTTTGTACCCTTCCATGTGTCCATGTGTTCTCATCATTTACCTCCCACTATTAAGTGAGAACATGTGGTATTTGGTTTTCTGTTTCTGCATTAGTTTGCTAAAGACAATGGCCTCCAGCTCCATCCATGTTCCTGCAAGGACATGATCTTGTTCCTTTTATGGCTGTATAGTATTCCATAGCATATATGTACCATATTTTCTGTATTCAGTCAACTGTTGATGGGTATTTAGCTTGAATCCACATCTTTGCTATTGTGAATAGGGCTATAATGAACATAGGTGTTCATGTATCTTTATAACAGAATGATTTACGTCCCTTTGGGTATATACCCAGTAATAGAGTAATAGGATTGCTGGGGCAAATGGTATGTCTGCCTCTAGGTCTCCGAGGAATCAGCACACTGCCTTTCACAATGGTTGAACTAAGTTACAAACCATCAACAGTGTAAAAGCATTCCTCTTTCTCTACAGCCTCGCCAGCATCTGTTATGTTTTGTCTTTTCAAATAATAGCCATTCTGAGTGGTGTGAGATGGTATCTCATTGTGGTTTTGATTTGCATTTCACTAATGATCCACTGATCATTAAAAATGATCCACTGATCATTAAAAATGATCCACTGATCATTAAAAAGCTCACTGATGTTGAGCTTTTTGTCACGTGTTTGTTGGCCACATGTATGTCTTCTTTTGAAAAGTGTCTGTCTGTGTCCTTTACCCACTTTTTAATGCAGTTGTTTATTGTTTTCTTGTAAATTTATTTAAGTCCCTTGTAGATGCAATATATTAGACCTTTTTTCACATGCATAGTTTGCAAAATTTTTCTCCCATTCTGTAAGTTGTCTGTTTACTCTGTTGATAGTTTCTTTTTGCAGTGCAGAAGCTCTTTAGTTTAATTAGATCCTATTTGTCAATTTTTGCTTTCGTTGCAATTGCTTTTGGTGTCTTCATCATGAAATCTTTGCCCCTGGCTATATTCTGAATGGTATTGCCTAGGTTTCCTTCTAGGGTTTCTATAGTTTTGGGTTTTATATTTAAATGTTTAATGCATCTTAGGTGATTTTTTTATATGGTGTAAGGAAGGGGTACAGTTTCAATTTTCTGCATATGGCTAGCCAGTTCTCCCAGGGAATCCCTTCACCATTGCTAGTTTTCGTGAGGTTTGTTGAAGATCAGATATTTGTAGGTGTATGATCTTATTTCTAGGTTTTCTATTCTGTTTCACTGGTCTACGTATGTGTTCTTGTACCAGTACCATGCTGTTTTGGTTACTGTAGTCCTGTAGTATAATTTGAAGTCGAGTGGTATGATGCCTCCAGTTTTGTTCTTTTTGCTTAGAGTTGCCTTGGCCATTCAGGCTCTTTTTGGTTTTTATTTAAATTTTAAAATAGTTTTTTATAATTCCATAAAGAATGTCATTGGCAGTTTAATGGGAATAGCATTGAATCTATGCTTTGGGCAGTATGGCCATTTTAACAATGTTAATTCTTCCTATCCATGAGCATGGCATGTTTTTCATTAGTTTTGTCTTCTCTGATTTGAGAAGTTTATACTTCTCCTTGAAGAGATCCTTCGCTTCCCTTATTAGCTGTATTCCTAGGTATTTTGTTCTTTTTGCAGCAATTGTGAATGGGTGTTTATTCATGATTTGGCTCTCACTTGTCTGTTTTTTGCATATAGGAATGCTAGTCATTTTTTCACATTGATTTTGTATCCTGAGACTTGCTGAAGTTGCTTATTAGCTTAAGAAGATTTTGAGCTGAGATGATGGGGTTTTCTAGATATAGGATCATGTCATCTACAAACGGGAATAGTTTGACTTCCTCTCCTCCTATTTGAATGCCATTTACTTCTTTCTCTTGACTGATTGCCCTGGCCAGAACTTCCAATACTATGTTCACTAGGGGTGGTGAGAGAGGGCAACCTTGTCTTGTTCTGGTTTTCAAAAGGAATGCTTCCAGCTCTTGCCCATTCAGTATAATATTAGCTGTGGGTTTGTCACATATGGCTCATTATTTTGATGTATGTTCATTTAATACCTAGTTAATTAAGAATTTTTAACATGAAGCGATGTTGTATTATATTGAACGCCTTTTCTGCATGTATTGAGATAATCATGTGGTTTTAGTCCTTATTTCTGTTTATGTGATGAATCACACTTATAGATTTGCATATATTGAACAAACCTTGAATCCCAGGGATGAAGCCTACTTGATCATGGTGTCTAAGTTTTTGCTGGATTTGGTTTGCTAGTATTTTGTTAAAGATTTTCCCATTAATGTTTATCAAGGATATTGGCCTGAAGTTTATTTTGTTTTGTTTTGTTTTGTTTTTTCATGTATCTCTGCCAGGTTTATCAGTGTGATGCTAGCCTCCTAGAAAGAGCTAGGGGGGAGTCCTTCCTTTTCATTTATTTAGGAATAATTTCAGTAGGAATGGTACCAGCTTTCCCTTGTACCTCTGGAACAATTCTGTGAATCTGTCTGGTCCTGGGCTTTTTTTAGTGGATAAGCTATTTATTACTGCCTCAATTTCAGAACTCATTATTGGTCTATTCAGAGATTTAATTTCTTCCTGTTTCAATCTTGGGAGGGTGTATGTGTCCAGGAATTTATCCACTTCTTCTAGATTTTCTAGTTTATGTGCATAGGGTGTTTATAATGTTTTCTGATCGTTGTTTGTATTTCTGTGAGGTCAGTGGTAGTATTCCCCTTATCATCTAATTGTGTTTATTTAAATATTCTCTTTTCTTCTTTATTAGTATAGCTAGTGATATATTTATTTTATTAGTTTTTTTTAAAAAAAAACAGCTCCGGGATTGGTTGATTTTTTGAACAGTTTTTCATGTCTCTATTCCTTTCAGTTCAGCTCTGATATTGATTGTTTCTTGTCTTCTGGTAGCTTTGGGATTTCTTTGCTCTTGGTTTTCTAGTTCTTTTAGTTGTGATGTTAGGTTGTTAACTTAAGATCTTTCTAGCTTTTTTTAAATTTTATTTATTTCATTATTATTATACTTTAAGTTTTAGGGTACATGTGCAAAACATGCAGGTTTGTTACTTATGTATACATGTGCCATGTTGGTGTGCTGCACCCATTAACTCATCATTTAGCATTAGGTATATCTCCTAATGCTATCCCTCCCGCCCCCCACACCACAACAGACCCCAGTGTGTGACGTTCCCCTTCCTGTGTCCATGTGTTCTCATTGTTCAACTCCCACCTATGAGTGAGAACATGCAGTGTTTGGTTTTTCGTCCTTGCGATAGTTTGCTGAGAATGATGGTTTCCAGCTTCATCCATGTCCCTACAAAGGACATGAGCTCATCATTTTTTATGGCTGCATAGTATTTCTCAGGGATCTAGAACTAGAAATACCATTTGACCCAGCCATCCCATTACTGGGTATATACCCAAAGGATTATAAATCATGCTGCTATAAAGACACATGCACATGTATGTTTATTGCGGCACTATTCATAATAGCAAAGACTTGGAACCAACCCAAATGTCCAACAATGATAGACTGGATTAAGAAAATGTGGCACATATACACCATGGAATACTTTCTAGTTTTTTGATGTGAGGATTTAGTGCTATAAATTTCCTTCTTATCACTGCTTTATCTGCATCCCAGATATTCTGGTATAATGTCTTTTTTGTTCTCATTACTTTCAAATAACTTCTTGATTTCTACTTTAATTTCATTATTTACACAAAAGTTATTCAGGAGTAGGTTGTTCAACTTCCATGGACTTGTATGGTTTTAAGTGAATTTCTTAATTTTGAGCTCTAATTTAATTGTGCAGTGGTCTGAGGGACTGTTATTATTTCAGTCATTTTGCATTTCCTGAGGATAGTTTTAGTTTGGATCAATTTTCAAGTAAGTGTCGTGTGGTGATGAGAAGAATGTATATTCTGTTGTTCAGCGGGGAGAATTCTGTAGATATCCACTTGTCCTAGAGCTGAGTTCAGGTCCTGAATATTTTTGTTAATTTTTTGTCCTGATAATCTGTCTAATATTGTCATTGGGGTGTTAAAGTCTCTCACTATTATGTAAGAGTCTAAGTATTTTTGAAGATCTCTAAGAACTGTCTTTATGAATCTGGGTGCTCCTTTATTCTGTGCATATATATTTAGAATAGTTAGCTCCTCTCGCTGAATTGTTTACCATTATGTAATATCCTGCTTTGTCTTTTTTGATCTTTGTTGGTTTAAACTCTATTTTTTCAGAAACTAGGATTGCAACACTGGTTTTTTTCTGTGTTCCATTTGTTTGGAAAATTTTCCTCCATTCCTACATTTTGAGACAATGTGTGTCTTTGCATGTGAGGTGGGTCTCTTGAAGACAGCATATTGATGGGTCTCAGTTCTTTATCCAGCTTGCCAGTCTCTGTCTTTTAGTTTGGTCATTTAGCCTACTTACTTTTAAGGTTAGTATTGATATGTGTGGATTTGATCCTGTCATCATGATGCTATCTGGTTATTTTGCAGACCAGTTTATGTGGTTGCTTCATAGTGTCACTGGTCTGTGTATTTCAATGTGTCTTTGTGGTGGCTGGTAATAGTTTTTACTCTCCATATTTAGTTTTTCCTTCAGGAGCTCTTGTAAGGAAGGTCTGTTGGTAAAAATTCCTTCAGCATTTGCTTGTCTGAAAAAGATAGCATTTGCTTGTCTGAAGGTCTGTTGGTAACAAATTCCTTCAGCATTTGCTTCTCCTTTGTTTATGAAGCTTCATTTGGACAAATACAAAATTCTGGGTTGAAATTTCTTTTCTTCAGGAATATTGAATATTGGACTCCAATTTCTTCTGGCTTGTAGAGTCTCTGTTGAGTGGTCCACAGTTAGTCTGATGGGCTTCCCTTTGCAGTTGACCCAGCCTTTCTCTCTGGCTGTCCTTAACATTTTTTTCTTGTATTTCGACCTTGGAGAATCTGATGATTATGGGTGTTGGGGAAGAACTTCTCCTGATGTATCTTACAGGGGTTCTCTGGATTTCCTGATTTTGGATCTAGCCTATCTAGCTAGGTTGGGGAAGTTCTCTTGGATGATATTTTAAAATATGTTTTCCAACTTGGTTCCACTCACCCTGCCTCTTCTAATAACTAAATCAGTTGTAGATTTGGTCTCTTTACATAATCTCATATTTCTCAGACATTTTGTTAATTTCTTTTTATTCTTTTTTCTCTATTTTTTGTCTGCCTCTCTTATTTCAGAAAGACAGTCTTCAAGCTCTGAGATTTTTTCTTGTTTGGTCTATTCTGGTATTAATACTTGTGATTGTATTGTGAAGTCCTCGTAGTGAATTTTTTTAACTGTCAGGTCGATTATGTTCCTCTCTATACTGGCTATTTTGTCTTCAGCTCCTGTATTGTTTTATGATTCTTAGCTTCCTTACACTGGGTTACAATGTGCTCCTTCAGCACATGAAGTTTGTTTTAATCCACATTCTGGAGCCTACTTCTGTCATTTCAGCCATGTCAGCCTCAGCCCAGTTCTCAATCCTTATTGGGGAGGTGTTGCAGTAATTTGGAGGAAAGGAGGTGCTCTGGCTTTTGGAGTTTTCAGCATTTGTACTGATTCTTTCTCACCTTTGTGGGCTTATCTACCTTTGATCTTTGAGGTTGCTGACCTCTGGATGGGGTTTTTTTGTGTGTTTTTTTGTTGTTACTGTTGTTTTTGTTTATTTGTTTGTTTTCCTTTTAACACTCTGGCCATTCTTCCATAGGGTTGCTGTGTTTTGCTGGAGGTCACCTCCAGGCTCTATTCACCTTGGTTTTCCGAGCACCAGAATGTATCACCAGTGAAGGCTATGAAATAGCAAAGATGGCAGCTTGCCCCACTTTCTCTGGGAGCTCTGTCCCAGGCAGGTACTTAGCTGTTCCTGGCCCAAATGCACCATTAGGAGGTTGCTGGAAACTCCAATTGGGAGATCTTACCCAGTCAGCAGGAATGAGATCAGGGACCTACTTAAAGAAGCAGTCTAGCTACATTTTTATAGAGCAGGTGTGCTGCATTGGGGATCCTTTAAGCCCCCAGTCAGTTTGGCCTCTCCAAGTTCCACTGGCTAGACTGGCTGACATAATTCATATCTGGCTGAGATGCCCAAATAGCAAAAGGAAGTTCTCTGGGAACCTCCTGCTGTGGAGAAATTGGAACTGTCAGTCATAGCACATTGGTCAGAGTGGCCAGAGGTCCCAGCTGGGAGTACATGCCCAGGAAGAAGGAATGAATCAGGGTACCATTTAAGTCTGGCCATGCATCAACAAAACAGCTGTGCCATGCTGGAGAACCACTTCTGCCCCATTCAGCTTGGACTCTCCAAATCCTGCAGGTTGGAATGGCATGTCATTTAAACAACAAAGGCTGTGGCCTGTTCCTCCCCCAAGGCACTCTGTCCCAGGGAGAGATAAGAATTATGTTTATAGAACACAGATGGGGGTGGCTGGAGTCCCTGGCTCGGAGGAGGAATGAATTAGACTTCTGCTTACAGAAGCTCTCTGGCCATGTTTTGGTAAAGTAGCTGTGCTGCACTGGAGGGGTCCCTTCCTCATCTGGACCACTGGGACTCTCCAAAGCCTGAAGGCTGGAATAGCTGAGTCATCCAAACAACAAAGGTGGTGGCCCACTTCTCACCTCAGGAGCTCCATCCAATCTCAGGCAGGCCCTGTTGTGGGTGGCTGGCTGGAATTCCAAGCCAGTGGGTTTTATCTTGTGAGGTGCTGTGGAAGTGGGGCCTGCAGACTGACACTGCTCAGACCCCTGGATTCATCCCCCTTCTTAACAGTATATATGGAGCTCCTGCCTTGCCTGAGTTGAAGTCACATTTGTCAGGTATCCCGAGGCCGAGTACATAAAGCTCCTGGGTCCCTATCAGTGCCTGACCAGCTGCTCTGCCAAGACTCCACACAGATCTGTGTGTTGGACCCAAGGCCCTGGTTGACTGGGCTCAGGAGGGGATGGGCTCAGGAGGGGATCTCCTGATCCGAGGGTTGCAAAGATCAATGGGAGAAGTGTAGTTTCTTGGGTCACATATTCACTTATGGCTTCCCTTGGGTGAGTGTGGGGGTTCCCTTTGCTCCATGTCACTTCTAGGTGGGTGATCGCCCTGCCCAGCTTTTCTTTGTTCTCTGTGAATCACATTGTTTCTCTTGTCAGTCTCAATGTGAGTACCTGAATACTTCAGATGAAGGTGCTGTATTTACTCACCCCTTTTGTTCCTCTCTGTGACTGCCACACACCATAGCTGCTTCTAATTAGCTATGTTGGCCCCCTTCTAGCATTATTTTTAATATTTTTACCAATAATTCCTGAAAACTGCAAAGTTCTTCAACAGGATTTGACGCTCTTAGCACTTCAGAATAAATCAGTTTATATTAACATGGATGTAAACATTCTTTAAACATCTCCTGTTTAAAACACTAACCAATGCATTGGTCTGACATTAGGATTGTATTTTTAAAATAATGTATACAAATTATTATTGTGGCGTTAGATTTCAGTTCATTAACAGACTAGGAGTTTGGGGCATAAAATCACCATAGATATCAATTAGTCCAAGAAACCTAAATTAGCAACCAAATTGTTAAATTTGAGACTTGTCCTTGTTGCCCATTTATTGATTATTCTAGGATAATATTTTAGCTGCTCTGAACATCATTTTATTTGTTTACAAAAAATGGTATTTTTGTAAGAATAAAAAGGATATGTGTGTGTAAATATATATTATAGTAATTGTCTCATAGTGGACATTTGCTATGGTTTAAATGTTTGTTTCTTCTAAAACTCATGTTAAAATTTAATCCCCAATGTGGGCAGCATTGAGAAGTGGGGTCTTCAAGAGATAATTGGGTCATAAGAGTTCTGCCTTCATGAATAAATTAATTCATTTCTGAATTGCAGGATTAATGGGTTACTTGATTAATGAGTTATCATGGGAGTAGAACTGGTGGCTTTATAAGAAAAGGAAGAAAGACCTGAGCTAGTACGATCACCCCCCACTTCATGTGAGGCCTTGTGCTGCTTTGAGAATCTGCAGAGAGTCCCCTCCAGCAAGAAGGCACTCACTGAATACAGCCCCTTGACCTTGGACTTCTCAGCCTCCATCACTGTAAGGAATAAATTGTTTTTCCTTATAAATTATCCAGTTTCAGATATTCTGTTTTGAGCAACAGAAAACAGATTAAGACAACCTTCCATTAAACAATGTAATAATAAATGGAGTAAAACAAGTTAAAATAAAAGACTTTCCCTACCAGTGAGTGGAGAAACTGAGGTTAGAGTTTTGTTTCTCCTCAGCTGTATCAGTGACCCTTCTTTGAAGTCTTAGGAGACTCAAGGATCTAAAAAGTTTATCACCTGAAAGAAGAATGAGGTGTTACACGTAGTGATGTGCACCCAGATTCCCATTCAAAGGATTTATTGCCTCAGCTGTCAGTTCCTTCAAGGATAACCTCTTCCTCAATGTTACACTTTTCCCTGGGAATCTCACATACAAAGGGTAAAAGATATGGCCAGTTAGGCCCAATGCAGAAAAATATTGAGGGTTCAACTTAGTTTGGAGATCCAGGTGTGGGTAGCTAAAACTACCATTGACCTACCGTAGAACTCCACTTCTCCCTTTGCCCTATTTGCCCTATCCTGTTTCCTTCAATTTCTTTCATTGGCATTGATCCCAAGGGCACTCCCTAGTCATTCTACTCACAAAACTCCATTGTACAGCTGTCTTTTCAAAGGATTCATCCTCCACCACCAAAACAGGAGCCAAAGCAATAGCCTCAATAGGAGCATCAACAGTTTCATAAATTCTGTGTTGATTATCTACCATAGATCATCACCTATGCTAGATTATTTTATCTCACTTTCATCACAAAAATGTGCCAATTACATTACACTCACCTTGCCATTCACAACATGGAGGCCCAAAGGTATTAAGCCCAGTGGCAATATCCCATTAAATGAATTTAAGATGGGAAAAGAGTGACAGGAGAGAAGAATAGTTGAGAAAGAATAAAGTATTAACTTAGTGGGCAAAGACTTTTCTTGGAAACCCAATTCTCTGTCTCCAGGATTGTGTTTTCTCTCACTCTATCTCAAAAAGAAAAAAAAATGTGCTTCTTGATTGATTGATGAGCTTTCTTTTGCGCATGTTGTGTCCTATAACTTTTGCCACTGTAGTAATAGACAATGAAAATATTCTTCATTTTTTAATTTAATGAACTAACATTTATTCAGCATTTATGATATTCTGGTATTATCCTAGTTATCAGGGTTATGGCATAGAGAGAACAATAAACACAAGCTTTCTGCTTTTATGGAGCATGGGTTTTGATGGTGGAAAATTAAAAAAAAGAACAAAAAGTACATAAACAAGCAAATAGATCTTGTGTGATAATTCATAAACGCTGTAATGAAAATATATTAGAGGAGTAACGTGCAGAGTAATATGTGCAAAATCACATTCAGTGACCACTTAACCAGTTACATGGTCAAGATATTTTTTTCATCTCTATTGTCTAATCAATTCTGGCTTCTTTCAGTCTTTTGTGCTGAGCACGTTTTTCCTGCAACAGGAGGAAAAAAAAAAACAAGCTGTTTCCCTTGCTTGGGATGACCTCTTTTCCTTCTTACCCTTCAGATCACAGGTCAATCAATACTGCCACAGTAAAGTTTTGTTTACCTTAATGATCAGGTTAAACTCCTCTATTAAAGAAGACTGTGACTGTATAACATTGCTCATAAACACAGATTACATTTGTTTGAATGTTTATTGTTGCATATTTCTTTGACTAAACTGTAAGCTACAAGAGTGAAGTAGTAATTTTGTTGTTTTTGCTTACTTGCATATTTCTAACACCTAAGAAAGTGCCTGAAACATAATAAGGACTCAATCCTTTATGCACTAAGTATTGTATTCAATACTTGGTATATAAAATAATAAACAAATAAATAAAACTGAGTCCCAGACCTCAGTGATCTCACAGTATAATGTGAAAGATCAACATACAAGTTCAGCATAAATTAGATGCTCTGCTAGAGTTAAGTTTTTGTATTGAATACATTTTTGTATTCTGGACAATTAGATATTTGGCAGGATCTCTATATACAAACATATATGCTCTCCTCTATGCATTATTGCATGATATAGTTAAACCATTAATTTTAAAAACATCTATATAACTATGATGTCAATTGAATAATGTAATTGCTCTGTAAAGTTTATGCTTACCTTCTCTTTAACTCATTTAGTCCATTGAGAAGGGACTATTTTAAATAGCAGTGATTCATGCAAAGATGTGTAAACTTAACCTTCAAATTTTAAGTGTCACTCTTATTGAGAGAAAAGTTAAATTATCCCTCTTTCTCTTCAATTGGACAAGAAAAAGCATCATAACTTCAGACTACAAAACAATAAAATAATTTCTGAAATATTAGTTTTATAATCATATAGAAAGCTTAACATACAGAGGCTACCAAATCCAGACACAAGAAACCAGTCCTACTGTAATCCATCTTGCTTCCTTTAAATTGTATAACAACTAGATCATCGTAGCAACTTAGGGATGATATATTTAAATTATTCAGGATGGTGCTTTTCCAGCCAAAATCAAAGTTTAATTCATTCTATACACACACAAACATCAAGAGATAAATATTTTTAATATTATTTCTTGAGATTTTCATTTTTCACTGTGGTCATCAGAATTTCTCTCTAAATCATTATGACAGTAAATTGTCTTTCTGTAAGTGTCCAAAAAAAAATCAAGGAAGCTTACAAAAGACATGATTTACTGGCAGGTAGGCATAAAATAAATCTACAAAGGTTTTTTTTTTTTAATGAAACTCAGGTGAATATAATGTATCACAGAGTTATAGAATTTGAGAGTAGTAAGTTTCCTTCAGATAAATCTGGCGAGTGTATTGATTAATTGACTTAGTTAACTAAGTGGATCAGCAATTCGATGGCAGAACTCTATGTAAAAGTAATTTCTCTACACATGTAATACTTTTCAATTTTACTAACATGATGGTACTTCCACAAGTATTTATTTCATTGTACTGCAAAAGTCCTTGAAATATTAGGAAAAAAACATTTTCTATATTTCACATAAAATGAATAATTTGGGGATAAATTAATAGTTCCTTAGAGGCAATGTAAAACACTATTTGAACTTTTTTAAATCAAGAAGAGTTTACTTTCTTTTTCATCTTCTCTAACCTAGTAGCAAATGCACTGAGAATTTTTATGAGACCATCACTTCATCCTCTATGAACAAACATCTAAAATTATGTGATATTATGATGTTTCCTACCAGGCAACAAGACCATTCACAATTGTCACGATAGTTTCATGCAGAAATGCTGAAATCACAAAAACAAAGCAATGGATATATATCCAGTCATATTAATTTATTTTGTGTTCTTCATTTTTGCCAAAATCTTATTGTTTATTATCCTATTAATGCCTACATTAATAGAAAATATAGAAGTTTTTATGATCCTTTATAACAAAATTAATGTACATGTTTGTACAAAGAGTTTTTGACTCTTTTGATTAGTTTTTGGAAATTTATGAGGATTGATGTCTTCATAACAAGGTAGTATAGTGTCCTAAACATTTAACCATTGAGAAGGGATCATTCAAAAACCTGTTATCCTCTCCACTGTTCTGAGAAACCCATTTACAGCACTAAATTACAAAGTGATGATGGATTAATAGATTAGATTTGTTGTTGTTCATTTGGGAATGCAGTTTAAGTCCTATTTTCCAGATATTGAATCAGTTTAAAATAATTGGTGACTTTAGATGTTCACTGAATGATGTAATCAATTAAAAATGTGTCTAGATTCATTGTAAATATCTGATTTAAGATAGATTCAGGCCGGGCACAGTGGCTCATGCCTGTAATCCCAGCACTTTGGGAAGCCGAGGCGGGCAGATTGCCTGAGGTCAGGAGTTCCAGACCAGTCTGGCCAACATGGTGAAACCCCATCTCTACTAAAAATACAAAAAAAAAAAAAAAAAAAAAAAAAAGCTGGGCATGGTGGCATGCGTCTGTAATCCCAGCTACTCGGGATGCTGAGGCAGGGGAATTGCTTGAACCAGGCAGGTGGATGTTGCAGTGAGCCAAGTTCACGCCACTGCAGTCCAGCCTGAGCAAGAGTGAGACTCCATCTCAAAAAAATAAAAAAATAAAAAGATACATTCACAGTGTAATTTCAGAAAAAGTGGATCTCATCATAATTGCATTAAATCATTCTGTTACCTGAGTTGAGATCATTTTAATAATTGTATATATGTATGAGTTTAAGTTTTAAACTTGATTTTTAATTAAATATAGGATTGTATGTATTTATTGGGTACAGCATGATGTTTTAAAGTATATAGACATTGTTCAGTGGATAAATTGACAAATGCATTACCTCACATAGTCATTTTTATGATGAGAAACTTAACATCTACTCTCTTAGCATTTTTACAAATACAATATATCATCATTAACTGTTGTAATCAAGTTATACAAGAGATCTCTTGAGTTGGTTCCACCTATCTGACTGTAAATATGTGTCCTTTGACCAACATCTCCCCAAACCTCCTGCCCCTAACCACCCCATCCTCTAGTAACCACCATTCTGCTCTCTACTTCTGTGAGATCAACTTTAAAATAATTGACATATGAGTGAGATCATGCAGCATTTGTCCTTCTGTGCCTGGCTCATTTCACTTAACATAATATCCTCCAGGTTCATGGGTGTTGCAAATGACAGGGTTTTGTTCCTTTTTATTGTTGAATAGTATTGCAGTATCTATAGACCACAGTTTCTTTATTCATTTATTTGTTGATGGGCACTTAGGTTGATTCCATATACTAAATATTGTGAATAGTACTGCAATATACATGGGGTGCAGATATTTCTGGACATACTAATTTTATTTCCTTTGGATATAAGTGAGATTGCTGGGTTATATCGTGGTTCTATTTTTAAATTTTAGAGATACTTTATACCGTTTTTCACAATGACTGTACTAATTTACATTTCAACCAACAGTGTGCAAGGGTTTCCACATTCTCTTCAACACTTATCTTTTGTATTTTTGATAATTATTTTAGCAGGTGTGAGGTGATGTCTCATTGTGATTTTGATGTATGTTTCTCTACTGAATAATAATATTGAGGATTTTCTCATATATCTGCTGGTCTTCTGTATGTCTTTTTTTGAGAAATGATTACTCAGGTCTTTTGTCCACTTTTTAATTGGACTATTTGTGTTTTTGTTATTGAATTCTCTGAGTGCTTTATATATTTTGAATATTAACCCCTTACAGGAGTAGAGTTTGCTAATATTTTCTCCCATTCTTTAGGTTGTCTCCTCACTTTCTTAAATCATTTTCTTTGCTGGGAAGAAACTATTTAAATTGATGTAATCATGTTTGTCCATTTTTGCTTTTATTGCCTGAACTTGTGAAGTAATCTGTGGAAAAATATTGTTTAGATCAATGTCATGGAGACTTTTTCCCTATGTTTTATTTGAGTAGTTTCATAGTTTCAAGTCTTACACTTAAGTCATTAATCCCTTTTGACTTGATTTTTATATATGGTGAGAAATGAGTGCTTCATTCCATTCTTCTGCATATGGATACCCAGTTTTCCTAACACTATTTATTGAAGATATTTTCCTTTCTCCATTGTGTATTCTTGACAATTATGCTAAAAATTAGTTGGCTCTAAATGCATGAATTTACTTCTGAAATCTCTATTGTATTCCATTGTTCTGTGTGTCTGTTTTGATGCCAGTATCATTCTGTTTTGGTTACTATAGCTTTGTGATATACTTTGAAGTCAGGAATGATGCCTTCAGCTTTGTTATTTTTGCTCAAGAATGCTTTGGATATTCAGCGTCTTTTGTGGTTATATACAAACTTTGGGACTTTTTTTTAATTTCTGTGAAGAATGACATTGGTATTGTCATATGGATTGCATTGAATCTGTAGATCTCTTTGGGTAGTATCAACATTTTAACAACATTAATTTTTTCAATCCATGTCATCTTCAATTTCTTTCATTAATGTCTCATAGTTTTCAGTGAGAAGATATTTCACCTCTTTGATTACATTCATTTTTAAGTATTTTTATAGCCATTTTAAATGTGTTTGTTTTCTGGATTTCTTTTTCAGATAGTTCACAATTAGTGTATAGAATGCTACTGATTTTGGTATGTTGATTTGTATCCTGCAACTTTACTGTATTCATTTATTAGTTCTAAGAGGTTTTTTATGTGAAGTTTTTAGGGTTTTCTATAGATAAGATCATGTCATATCCAAACAGAGACAATTTAACTTCTTCTTTTCCAATTTGGATGCTCTTTTATTTTTTTCCCTTGCCTAACTGTTTTGGCTAGAATTTCTAGTACTGTGTTGAATAAAAGTCTTGAAGGCGAGCATCCTTATATTTCAACAGATCTTAGAGAAAAGGCTTTCAGCTTTTCCTGTTGACTGTGATGTTAGCTGTGGATTCATCATATGAGGCCTTTATTGTGTTGAAGTAAATTTCTTCTATCTATAATTTGATGAAAGTTTTTAAGGTGAAGGAATGTTGAATTTTGTTCAATGCTTTCTCTCTGCAGGTTAAAGCAATCATATGATATCTTGTTCTTCATTCTGTTAATACCATGTATCATGATTATTGATTTTCATATGTTGCACCATCTTTCCATTCCTAGAATAAATCCCTCTTGATCATAGTGAATTTTTTTTAAAAGTGCTGTTGAATTTGGGTTAATAGTATTTTGTTGGGGATTTTTAAAAAAATCTATGTTTATCATGGATACTGGCCTGTAGTTGCCTTTTTTGTTGTTGTGTCTTTGGTTTTTGTGTCATGTGAATGCTGGCACGGAAAATGAGTTCAGAAACATAACTTTTGCTTTAATTCTTTGGAAGCATTTTAAAATAATTGGTGCTAGCTTTTTAAAAAAATGTTTGGTAGAACTCAGCAGTAAAGCAATCAGGTCCTGGACTTTTCTCTAATGGTAGACCTTTCATTTACCTATTCAATCTCCTTACCTGTTGTTGGTCTGTTCAAATTTTCTGTTTTTTCATAATTCAATTGTCATAGGTTGTACGTGTCCAGGAAGTTTTCCATTTTGTCCAATTTTTTGGTATTCAACTGTTTCTAATAGTTTTTTTATAATTTTTTTATTTCTATGGTCACAGTTTTAATGTCTCATGTCTCATTTTTCAACCCTGATTTTATTTATGTGAATATTTTTTCTATTTAACTAAAGATTGTTAATTTTGTTTACTTTTACAAAAAACAGTTTATTTTGTTGATATTTTCTATTGCTTTTCTAGTCTCTATTTCATTTTTTTCTACTCAGATATTTATTATTTCCATCCTTGTAATAATTTTTGGCTTAGTTTGTTATGGTTTTTCCAGTTCTTTGAAGTGCAGTGTTAGGTTGTTTATTTGAGATCTTTCTTCTTTTTATGATATAGGTATTTATTTGCATAAACTTTCTAGTTAGGATTGCTTCTGTTGTATCCCATAGGTTTAACTATGTTGTGTTTTGATTTTCATTTATCTTAATACATTTCTAAATTACCTTTTTAATTACTTTATTGACCCATTGATTATTCAAAAGCATGTGCTTTAATTTTCATGTATTTGTGGATTTTCTAAGTTTCTCCTGTTTTACTTCTTTGTGGTTAGAAAATATATTTGATATAATTTCAATATTCTTAAATTTGTTAAGATTTGTTCTGTGCCTTAACATGTGTATTAGGGTTCTCTAGAGGGACAGAACTAATACGATAGTTATATACATATATATGTAAAAGGGGGGTCATTAAGGAGTTATTAACTCACATGATCACAAGGTCCCACAATAGGCTGTCTGCAAGCTGAGGAGCAAAGAAGCCAGTCCAAGCCCCAAAACTGAAAAACTTGGAGTCCAGTGTTCGAGGACAGGAAGCATCCAGCACAGGAGAAAGATGTAGGCTGCGAGGATAAGCCAGTCTGCTATTTTCACATTCTTCTGCTTGCTTTTTATTCTGGCCATGCTGGAAGCTGATTAGATTTTGCTCACACAGATTAAGGGTGGGTCTACCTTCCTGAGCCCACTGACTCAACGGTTAATCTCCTTTGGCAACACTCTCACAGACACACCCAGGATGAATACTTTGCATCCTTCAATCCAATCAAGTTGACACTCAGTGCTAATCATCACAAGTCCACCCCTTGTCAACTCGAACCCATGCACATCTCCTGAGAGCACACATAATCTTCAAATAAATACAATGATAAGATCTTAATTATGACTAACATAATACAACTATCCTTTGTACAACTGGAACACAACAATCCTCAATCCAAATGCTATTACATAGTTAACACTTAAATGCTAATATGAAGTCAATAAGTCTTATGTCACATGATAAGGATAAAGGCAATACAATGAAGGTATTTTCTTAGTACAAGTGTATACATTCACAAACATGTTTATAATAAAAGAAGGAGGAAATACTCATGACAATTATAGTCCTCATTTGTACAGCTTGCCATGTGATCATAACTGGTATTGATGACTACATTCTTCTATTACCCATTTTGATTCCCTTTGCTTTCAGCAAGCACCTCAGCAAGTCGTGGGTTTTTTTCCTGGTGGAGTGACCCAAACATTCTTTCTTGAAGGGTCTGGGCTATTTGTAGTCCTGCCTGGATTAGGTTATTGTAATTTCCCATTGACCTTAATCACAGAATGGTAATACCAAGAGACTCCCCAAGGGATCTCCTGTATTCCACGCATACTCTTTCTTACCTCCCTTGTGAAGTAGTAGACTGATTTCACCTTGATAGTCCAGGTCAATCACCCCAGCCAATACTGTAACTCCCTTCTTAGCCTGTTGACTTGAAAGTAAGAGGAGCCCAAAGTGTCCAGGTGGCAATATTCACTTCTAGTTTAATGGAATCATTGTTGTGTTTCCTGGTGGCAGCATTCCTCCCTCTGGAACTAAAACCTCTAGGCCAGCAGAACATAATGTTGTGGGAATAAGAAGCAAAAGTTTTGCTAGTGGATCACTAGGGGTGATGGTGAGTGGTGCCACCTCCATTTCCATCCCTTGATTCCTGGACCCGTGAATCCTGGCTATGGGAGAAACAGTACCACATACTGTACATTGATTCAGAGCATACACAGACTTCTGGAGAACTTTCACCCAGACTTGCAAAGTATTGTCACCTAATTGGCATTGTAATTGTGACTTCAAAAGGCTATTCCACCATTCTATCAATCCAGATGCTTCAGGATGATGGGGAACATGGTAAGACCAGGGAATTCCATGAGGATAAACCCACTGTTGCACTTCTTTAGCCATAAAGTGAGTACCTTGTTCAGAGGCAATGATGTGTGGAATACCATGATGGTGGATAAGGCATTCCATGAGTCCCGGATTGTAGTCTTGGCAGAAGCATCGTGTGCAGGATAGGTAAACCCATATCCAGAGTAAATGTCTATTCCAGTGAGGATGAACCTCTGTCCTTTCCATGATGGAACAGATCCAAATATAATCAACCTACCACTGAGTAGCTGGTTGATCACCCCGAGGAATGGTGCCATATCAAGGGCTCAGTGTTGGACTTTGCTGCTGGCAAATTGGGCACTCAGCAGTGATTGTAGCATAGTCAGTCTTGCTGAATGGAAGTCCATGTTCCTGGGCCAATGAGTAACCTCCATTCCTGCCACTATGGCCACTTTGTTCATGGGCCCATTGGGCAATGACAGAGGTGGCTGGGGAAAGAGACTGAGTGGTGTGCACAGAGTGAGTCCCTATCCACTTGATTATTACAGTCCTTCTCTGCTGAGGTCCCCCTTTGGTGAGCATTCACATGGGATACAAATCTTCACAGTTTTTGAGAACTCAAAGATGTCCACCTCAAACCTCTTCTCCAAATTTCTTTTTTTTAACAATTTTCCAATAATGCTTTTTCCAAGTCTGTGACTAATCAGCCAAACTATTGGCTAGCGCCCATGATTCAGTATATAATCTCACATCTGACCATTTCTCCTTCCATGCGAAGTGCACAACCAGGTGCACTACCTGAAGTTCTGCCCACTGGGAAGATTTCCTTTCACCTCTGTTCTTCAAGGATGTCCTAGAAACGGGCTGTAGTGCTGCAGCTGTCCATTATCAAGGGCAGTGCCTGCATATTGTGCAGAACCATCTGTGAATCCGGTCCTAGTCGTCTCTTCCTCTGTCAATGGATCATAGAGAACACTCCATGAAGCCATCGTCACAGGGTAGGGGAGAGAAGTCAGAGTGGCAGGAGTGGAGACCATGGGCATTTGAGCCACTTCCTCATGTAACTTATTTGTGCCTTCAGGACCTGCTCAACCCTGGTCTCATATATACCACTTCCATTTGATGATGCAATGTTGCTGTGCACATCTCACTTTATGGCTAGATGGGTCAGAAAGTAATCAGTTCATGATAGACAGTTCAGGTCACATGGTGACTTGATGACCCATTGTCAAATGTTCAATTTCAACCAAAGCCCAGTAACAGGCCAAGAGCTGTCTCTCAAAAGGAGAGTAGTTAACTGCAGAAGATGGCAGGGCCTTGCTCCAAAATCCTGGAGGCCTCCACTGTGATTCACCTGTGGGGACTTGCCAAAGGGTCCAAACAGCTTCCCTATCTGCCACTGCCACCTCAAGCACCACTGGATTTGCTGGGTCATATGGCCCAAGTGGCAGAGCAGCTTGCACAGCAGCCTGGACCTGTTGCAGAACCTTCTTCTGTTCTGGATCCCATAAAAACTGGCAGCCCTGAAAGCGTCACTCAATAAATGGGCCAGAGTAACACACCCAGATGAGGAATGTGTTGCTTCCAAAATTCAAATAGTCCCATTAGGTGTTGTGCCTCTTTCTTGGTTGTAGTAGGGGCCAAATACAGCAACTTATCCTTCACCTTAGAAGAAATACCTCAATAGGCCCCACACCATGAGATAACCTAGAAATTTTACTGAGATAGAAGGTCCCAGAATTTTAGTCGGATTTATTTCCCATCCTCTGGCATACAAATCTCTCACCAAAAAGTTCAGTGTGTTTCCAATTTCTTGCTCACCGGATCCAATCAGCATAATGTCATCAATTTAGTGAACCAGTGTGATATCTTGTGGAAGTAAAAACAGATTAAGTTCTCTTCAAAGATTATGAAACAAAGCGGAGAGTTGATATACCCCTGAGGTAGGACAGTAAAGGTATTTTGGTGACCTTGCCAGCTGAAGGCAAATTGCTTGTGGTGGGCCTTATGGACAGGAATGGAGAAAAAGGCATTTCCAAGTCAATGGCTGCATACCAGGTATCAGGAGATGTGTTAATTTGCTCAAGCAATGAAACCACATCTGGTACAACAGCTGCAATTGGAGTCATCACTTGGATAAATGTATGATAATCCACTGTCATTCTCCAAGATCCATCTGTCTTCTTCACAGGCCAAATAGGAGAGTTGAATGGGAAGTTGCGGGAATCACCACCCCTGAATCTTTCAAGCATTTGATGGTGGCACTAATCTCTACAATCCCTTCAGGGATGTGATATTGTTTTTTATTTATTATTTTTCTAGGTAGAGGAAGCTCTAGTAACCTCCATTTGGCCTTTCCCACCATAATAGCCCTTGGCCTGCCAGTTAGAAAGCCAACTTGGGGGTTCTGCCAGTTGCTAAGTATGTCTATGCCAATTATGCTTTCTGATACTGGGCAAATGACCACAGGATGAGTCTGGGGATGCACTGGACCCACTGTAAGTCGAACCTAAAACTCCATTAATTACCTGACCTCCATAATCCCTTCCTTTAATTGGAGGACCGTAATGATGTTTTGGGTCCCTGGGAATCAGTCAGCTCAGAGCCAGTATACAGTAGTCTCTGAAATGTCTGATCATTTTCCTTTTCCCACTGCATAGTTACCCTGGTAAAAGGCTGGAGGTCTCATTGGGGAAGGATGGGAGAAAGATTAACAGCATAATTTTTCGTATGGTAGTGGGGTCCTTCCTCAAGGGGTCTTGGCCTTCCCTTCAACCAAGAGGTTCTGGGTCTGTAAACTGACTCAAGTCTGGAAATTGATTGAGGGGCTGTGATTCTCTTTTCTTTTAATTCAAATTAGTCTTTCATCTACTCAACCTGGAAGTTTTCTGCTTATATAAATTAAGTAGGAATGCAGTAGGCTTCCATTCAATTTCACTTCTAGGAATACTGTGATTAATTAGCCAATGCCAGAGCCCTACACTATTATGTGATTGCTGCCTTGCCTTTGCTGTCCATTACAGTAGCTACACCCTCCTTGCCTTTGACAGTTGAGTGCCACCACTTGGCCTCTGCCACCTTGGGATGCAATTATTCCCACTGCATTTAAATTTTTTAGTTGAGTGACTGAAGTTCCTACTGTTAGATCTGACATACAGAGAAGAGCAATTACAGGGCTCTTCAAAGATGCAGGTCCTGCTCTTACAAATCTATTTAGCAAAGCATTGGTTAAGGGTATATCTTCTGGACCCTCCCAGCTGGGATGAGTAGGTCTCAGTGACTAATCCACTCCAGCATCCCAATTTCCCTAAGCTTTTGGATTCCTTCCTCTACATTAAACCAAGAGAGATCAGGCATTTCCAGCTCACTCACAGTGGGCCATCTTTTAATCCATGTTTTAGCTAACCAAGCAAATAAACTATTCAAATGTTTTTTAACTCCCTAAGCTGCAACATTAAATGCAGATTCCCTATTGAGTGGGTCCAAACCAATAAATTCAGCCTGATCCAATCAATGCCCTTACTTTAACAGTAGACACCTGGCAAAGCTGTACCTGCACCTTTTGTTACAGGTCAGCCACTCACATGATAAGTGCTTGTGTCTGTTTTTCCACAATTTCAGCTTTTTTTCTGCAGGAGATAAGACTCTCACTCAAGGCGATTTTAGCAGGTTTGAGGCTCAGTGTCTGCTTCTGAAGCTTGGAGTTAGAATCCCTGAGTCCATCATTTTATTTCATCACTTTGTCCAGTGAACTTAAGAGCAACCATCCAACTTCATTATGTTCCTTGGTTCTCTAATATAGTCAAAGATATTATATAGAGAGTCACTAAACTCCTTACCTCTCTTGAGTGGTGAATCAGGAGTGCCAGATGCATTTATTTTGCATAAGTTTCTAAGCAGTTTACCCCAAGGACTATCGGTGTTCTCCATACCATTAGAGGTAGAGTCCTTAGCATTTTGGGGTCTAATCATATTAACCTTCCAACTCTAGAAACTCCAAAACCAATCAAAGAACTTTATCTTTTATATTCTGTTCCTCTAGAACCACTCCTGGTACCAAAATCTGTATTAGTCAGGGTTCTCTAGAAGGATAAAACTAAAAGGAGATTATTATATATTTATATATATAGGGTATATACATATAAGATATATATTTTATATATATAGAGGATGTATATATGGGATATATATTTTATATATAGGGAGGATATATATATAGGATATATATTTTATATAGAGAGAGGATATATAGAGAGAAAGGATATATATATATGTATATATAAAATAAAGTGATATCAAGTTTATTAAGGAGTATTAGCTCACAGGATCACAAGCTACAGCAATAGGCCATCTGCAATTTGAGGAGCAAAGAAGCCAGTCCCAATCTCAAAACTGAAGAACTTGGAGTCCAATATGTGAAGCAGGTAGCATCCAGAATGGGAGAAAGATGTAGGCTGGGAAGATAAGTCAATCTGGTCTTTTCATGTTCTTCTGCCTGCTTTGTACTCTGGCCACAATGGCAGCTGATTAGATTGTGCCCACCCAGATTAAGGATGGGTCTGTCTTTCCCAGCCCACCGGTTTAAATGTTAATCTCCTTTGGCAACACCCTCAGAGACACAGCCAGGATCAATACTTTGCAGCCTTCAAACCAATCAAGTTGACATGCAGTATTAACCATCATAACATGAGATCTATCCTGGAGAATGTTGCATGTGCAATTGAGAAGGATGTGTATTTTGTAGGTGCTAGATGGAATGTTCTGTATATGCCTGTCAGGTCTATTTGTTCTAGAATGTAGCTTATGTCTGGTGTTTTCTTGTCAACTTTCTGTCTGCATAATCCATTTATTGCTAAAACTGGAGTGCTGAAGTACCCTTCTATTATTGTATTGTAGTCAATCTCTCCTTTTAGAGCTATTAATATTTACTTTATATATTTAGGTGTTCTGATGTTGGGTGGATATATGATGTTGGGTGTTCTGATGTTGGGTGTTATATCCTCTTCTGTAATGACCCCTTCATCATTATATAATAACATTCTTTGTCTCTCTTTGCAGTTTTTGACTGAAAGACTATTTTGTATGACATGAATATAGCTCCTCCTACACATATCTGGGTTGTTTTATTGCATGAAATATTTTTTTTCCATCCCTTCACATTCAGTCTATGTGTTTTTACAGTTGTAGTGAATCTTTTGTAGGCAGCATATAGCTGGGTCTTGTTTTTTGTTTGTTTGTTTTAATCTATTTAGCCACTCTATGTCTTTTAATTGAAAAACTTAATTCATCTACATTCAAGGTAATTACTGCTAGGTAATTACTTAATTGCTGCCATTATGTTAATTGTTTTCCAGTTGTTTTGTAGATGCTTTCTTCCTATTTTCTTCTCTCACTGTCTTCCTTGTGGTTAAGTGATTTTTCTGTAGTTGTATGTTTTGACTCCTTGATTTTTTTTGTAGGTATTTATTATGGGTTTTTCACTTTGAGGTGCCATAAGGCTTACAAAAAATATCTTATAACAGTTTATTTTCAGATCATAATGATGTGTCAATATAGGCTCAATGTACTGGTATTGTAACATATATATCACTCTGGATAGTGATAGTAGAGTGAGGCTGTGCATGTGTGGGAAGGTGAGTATATGAGAACTCTCTGTACCTACCACTCAATTTTACTGTGAATCTAAACCTGCTTTCAAAAATAAAGTAAAAAATAAGTTAATATATACTTTTAATTGGCAGTATTTTTGAGAGACAGAGAATATCAACCCATTTTCAATAAATACACATTATGTAATTATCATAATATCAACTAATTTATTTAAATGAATTTCTTTTATTCTTGTACATATATATGCATTGTTGCAATGAACATGTTTATATCTAGGGTAAATTCCTAGAGGTAGAACTATTAAGCCAGAAAATTGCATATTCAAATCTTTTGATACATACTGCTCTATTTTTTCTACAGCATTTATTTATAAGACTCAATTCAAGCTTTATGCTTATCTTATTTTGTACTGTTATGATAATTTGTAAGAATTGTTTGTAAGATTGACAACATTCTAGACATTTTATTCATTTCTTTATTCCTTCAACTAAAATGTCTAGCCCTGGTGTATGACTAGTGGTGTCATGTAATCTATATCCAGCCACAAACAAAAGCAACATAAACCCCTGCCCTCATAGAACTTATACTGTAGTAAAGGGAAAAGCAATTAAAAAAATAAGCAAAATATAAAGTAAGTTAATTGATATGGTTTGGCTGTGTCCCCACCCTAATATCATCTTGAATTGTAGCTCCCATAATTCCAAAGTGTTGTGGGAGGGAACTAGTGGAGATAATTGAATCATGGAGGCAGTTTTCCCCATACTGTTCTCGAGGTAGTGAATAAGTCTCATGAGAGCTGATGGTTTTATAAGGGGAAACCCCTTTCACATGGTTCTCATTTTCCTTTGCCTGCCATGATGTAAGATGTGCCTTTTGCCTTCTGCCATGATTGTAAGGCCTCCCCAGTCACGTGGAACTGTGAGTCATTAAAGCTTTTTTTTTCTTTATAAATTACCCAGTCTTGGGTATGTCTTTATCAGCAGCATGAAAATGGACCAGTACAGTAAACTGGTACCAGTAGAGTGGGGAACTGCTGAAAAGATACCTGAAAATGTGGAAGCGACTTTGGAACTGAGGAATAAGCTGAGGTTGGAACAGTTTGGAGGGCTCAGAAGAAGACAGGAAAATGTGGGAAAGTTTGGAACTGCCTAGAGACTTGTTGAATGGCTTTGACCAAAATGCTGATAATGATAGGGACAATGAAATCCAGGCTGAGGTGGTCTCTGATGGCGATGAGGAACTTGAGGAAGAGAGTAAAGGTGACTCTTGCTATATTTAAAAAAAGAGACTGGCAGCATTTTGCCTCTGCCCTGGAAATCTGTGTAACTTTGAACTTGTGGTCTATGATTTAAGGTATCTGGCAGAAGAAATTGCTAAACAGCAAAGCATTCAAGAGGTGGCTTGGGTTCTGTTAAAGGCATTCAGTTTTTAAAGGGAAGCAGAGCATAAACATTTGGAAAATTTGCAGCTTGATGATGGGATAGAAAAGAAAAACCTTTGCTGAGGAGAAATTCAAGTTGGTTGCAGAAATTTGCATAAGTAACAAGCAGCCAAATGTTAATTGCCAAGAAGATTTAAAAAAAAGTCTCCAGGGCATGTCAGAGACCTTTGTGGCAGCCCCTCCAATCACAGGCCTGGAGGCCTAGGAGAAAAAAAATGGTTTCATGGGCTGGGCCCAGGGCCCCCCTGCTGCGTGCAACCTAGGTTGGTGTCCTGTGTCCCAGCCACTCTAGCCATGGCTAAAATGAACCAAGGTACAGCTTGAGCCATGGCTTCAGAGGGTGCAAGCCAAAAGCCTTGGCAGCTTCCATGTGGTGTAGACCCTGCAGGTGCACAGAAGTCAAGAATTAAAGTTTGGAAACCTCTGCCTAAATTTCAGAGGATGTATGGAAATGCCTGGATATACGGGCAAAAGTTTGCTACAGGGGCAGCATTCTCATAGAGAATATCTGCTAGAGCAGCATGGAAGGGAAATGTGGGGTTGAAGCCCCCACACAGAGTCACTACTGAGGCACTGCCCACTGGAGCTATGAGAAGAGGGCCACTGTCCTCCGGACCTCATAATGGGAGATCCACTGACATTTTGCATTGTGCACCTAGAAAAGCCACAGACACTCAATGCCAGCTGGTGAAAAATGCTGGGAGGGAGCCTATACTCTGTAAAGCCACAGGAGTGGAACTGCTCAAGACCATGGGAACCCTCCTCTTGCATCAGCATGACCTGGATGTGAGACATGGAGTCAAAGGAGATAATTCTGGAGCTTTGAGATTTGACTGCCCCGCTGGATATTAGACTTGCATGGGGCCTTTAGCCTCTTTGTTGTGGCCAATTTATCCCATTTGGAATGGGTATATTTATCCAATGCCTGTACCCCCATTGTATCTAGGAACAAACTAACTTGCTTTTGATTTGACAGGCTTATAGGAGGAATGGACCTGCCTTGTCTCAGATGAGACTTTGGACTGTCGACTTTTGACTTAATGCTGAAATGAGTTAAGACTTTGGGGGATGGTTGGTAAGGCATGATTGGTTTTGAAATGTGAGGGCATGAGATTTGGGAGGGTCCAGGGGCAAAATGATATGGTTTGGCTGTGTCCCACCCAAATGTCATTTTGAATTGTAGTTCCCATAACTCCTACATGTTTTGGGAAGGAAACAATGGGAGATAATTAAATAATGGGGGCACTTTTCCCCATACTGTTCTCATAGTAGTGAAATAAGTCTCATGAGACTTGATGGTTTTATAAGGGGAAACCCTTTCACTTGGTTGGCATTCTCCCTTGTCTGCCGCCATGTAAGATGTGTTCTTCACCTTCTGGCATGATTGCAAAGCCTCCCTAGCCATGTGGAATTGTGAGTCAATTAAACCTTTTTTCCTTTATAAATTACCCCGTGTTTGGTATGTCTTTATCAGCAAACACTAGTGATTTTTAAATAAAAAAGATAATATATAGCATGGAAGGGAAATATTCAGATGTGATGATTGTTAAAGTTTTGCATATGATGGTCAGTGAAGACTCACAGAGAATATGACATTTGAACATATGTTTGAGGCATCCAGTGCCACGATCCAAGAAGATAAAACAGAGTGGTGAGAAGTGTTCAGTTTGTAATATGATTAAAGGCAAAGTCAATGAGGTTTGTAGACAGGTGGATAGGGGTGTGAGGAATGAGAGAGAGATGGATTAAAGATAACTCCGAAATTCTTTGGTTCAAAAAAGTAGAAGGATAAAGTTACCATTTATTTAATAACGAAAAAGATGCTAAGAGTAGGTATAGGAACAAAAATGTGGATTTAAGAGTGTTACATTCCAACGCCTATTAGACATCAGATAAAAATGGAATAAAATCAGTTAAGTGTATGAATTTAGTGGAAGGTAGTCTGGACTAAAAATATATAATTGGTGATCTCTAGTATATCAATTATAATTAAAAACATAAAGTTGTAAAAAAGACAAAAACATGGAGGAAATGAGCACAAATAAAGTAAAGAAGAGTGGCAAAGACTGGGTCCTAGGACATCTTTAACATTTAGAGATTGGAGCAATACTAAATGTGATTAAAAAAATAGCAAAGTGAAGTAGGGCATGCAACAGATTGTGACAGTATGGAAGAATAGTGAAGATAGTGTTTTATGGCTGAGAGTGATCAACTTGATCAGATGTTGTCAAGGGGTCTAGAAAAATAAAATTTGAGAATTGACAAACAGATTTAGTGTCATTGTGCCATAGATAAGCAATTTCATTGAAGCAATGAGGGCCAAAACCTAACTAGAAAGGTCAAAGAGACAAAGACTAAAAATGAATAAGAGAATAGTGGGTATAAAAAACTATTTCAGGAAGATTTTCTATAGAAAGAAAGAGAATAATGGAGAAGTATGGTGGCCTAAAGATGTAAAATTTAAATAAGTTATTTTTAATGAAAATAGCCATAGTCTATTTGTGTTGTGATGGGCATATTCAGTTGGGGAAGGTAAGTGGAGAACTGATGATCTTGGAGATAAAGGGGAGAGCTAATGGAGCTGTTGAGTAAGAAAGCAAGATTAGTACCTAGTGTACAAATGCAGGTGTTCATCTTACATAGCAGTAAAAGCCATGTTTCCATGAAGACAAGAAAGAAGACAGAATATGTACTTATAGTGGCAGGAAGGTTGGTAGATGTGTTGATGAAAACAGATTTTTTTTTTTTTTTTTTTTTTGCTTATTGCTTTTCAATGAAACATGTATTAGTTGGTGCAAAAGTAATTGCCATTTTTACCATTAAAAGTAATGATAGGAGAAGAGGGTTTGAAGGTGTCAGGAGAGAGAAAATACAAAATTGTCTTTTAGGAAAGTAAAATTATGAATCAACAAAGGAATTTAGTATAACTGGAAATAAACATGGGGCCCTTTTGTGATCATTAACATAAATTGACAAGCATCAGTATGCCTGTACATGCCTGTGTGTGTGTGTGTGTGTGTGTGTGTGTGTGTATTTTCAATCATGTTTATCTGGCTGTGTGTGTTTTAGAAAATGGTAGGGAGAGAAATTTATTAAATCAAAGTTCTTATTTTCACAGAGAAGTTCAGTGAAAGACATATTAGAGTCAAAGAGCTTGAGTGTATGAGCTAAGAAATGACTAAAATAATAAAACAAAGAAAAATAAGCTAGATTAAAAGGGAAGTGATAAAATGACAATGATGGGGACAGTAGAAAGTTGGTAAAATTGATATGTGGTAGTTGCCAGTGGAGTATAAAACGTGGAGTGAACTGAAAATATAGTGGTGGTTGTTCACAGTAGATGACTAAAACTGAGAATTTGGGAGATAGATTGACTTAACTGTTTTATGACCATGAGAGTAAGTGTTTAACTTGAAGGAATACATAATATTCAGAGAAACAAAAGAGAGATCAAGTAACTGAAAATATATTAGAAGGATCATCAATATGGATATCAAAATATTTTAAAATTAGGGCACAAACAAGTAAAATTATCTATGAATATAAGTCTCTACAGACAAATTAAGGTAACATTTATATAGAAAACGGCAACAAGAAAGGTGATGATTGATATAGTTTAATGACAACAGTCAAAGCTGCAGTTTCAGAGAAGAGGCAGCAACAATTTGCAGAAAAGAGGTCAGTCACCCATCTCCTACTCTGTGACTAGAGATACAAAGAGAGAGGGTAAAAAAATAGTCACTACTTCAGAGGACAACAGTGTATACCATGTTTCAGTACTAAGGCAATTTTAATCAATGTAAGAATTAGGAAAGAATTTCAACAAAAAAGGAGTGTGAGGTTATTAAGACATTTGTTAATGGATTGCAGAGTACAGAAAAAAGCTGTATGTTTTAAGAAGGGACCACAATATAAAATGGAAAAGGAAATGTACAGAGCCTATATATTAGAATCTGGAGGCTGAAGGATTGCTGGTGAATTCTAGATTTCTTGTGGTGACTATCAAGTTCAATTCAATTCAAAAAATATTTTTTGAGGCTCAACCACATGCTAGGCACTCTTCTCATCCATAAGAAAAACCAACACAAATTATTACTTTAAGAATCTACAACCCAGGGCTAAAAGCTAAAATGAGATTAGACTTGATCTCAAGTGAAATGGTGATGAGGCTATGAGTTTAGCGGAAAGGAAGAGAGGAGGATGACTACATGAAAATGTAGATTTTGTACCCAGTGTTTTACTCTTTCTATTGTTGATGTGAATTCCAAGTGAGAGGTTTTCTTTACCAGAGTGCCTAGATATTTGAAGTTCTCTTCTAATTTCCAACTAGAGCTAATTCTGGCATTTCTTCAAAATTCCTTCTAATTGAGCTGTGAAGATATTTTGTTCTCTGGAACCTGAATTCTGGGGGGACTGTACACATAGTGTCTCAATTTTAAACAATGTTATTTTAGTTATCAAATTGATTTAAAAGAGTCCCTTTTAGATTAAGAGAACTAAAATATAAGATATATACATTGCAAGTAACTTTCCCTCTTTTTTTGCCATCAAAAGAATTATTTTACACAAAAGAATGCTGCAGAATTTTAAAAAATCTTTGGCTTTTTTTAATGTTACTAATTTTTTTTAAGCTTTTATTTTAAGTTCAGGGGTACATGTGCAGATTTGTTACATAGGTAAGCTTGTGTCATGGTAGTCTGTTGTACTGATTATTTCATCACTCAGGTATCAGGCCTAATACCCATTAGTTATTTTTCTTGATCCTCTCTCTCCTCCCATCCTCTACCCTCCAATAAGCCCCAGTGTGTATTGTTTTTCTCTGTTTGTTCATGTGTTCTCGTTCTTAATTGATCTTTTACTCCGTGTTTTCTCCTTTGGTATTAAACATAGGATATTTTCTTTTTACTAAAATATATGTAAAACTTTTCTTCATACTTACATGTTTCTGTTTTAAATTTTAACACTGAAAGAGTTTATCTACTGGACTTCATTTTAATATTGGGGAGTGAGTCTCAAATCTCCCTAACAAAGAAACTTGACAGAAGGCCATTGCATGTTACCTTCTGGGCATCTGAGGGTAAAGCCTGAAGCAGCTGATGACTTAATTAAAATGTCTTTTAAGTCTTATGTTTTATCTTCAAGAGTAAGGCAACATTTTTATCACAGTCTTGTAACATAGAAGTATCTTCAATGTAAAAGTAATTTTAAATAAATCAACATTAAATTTCAGGAAGATGTACCATATTTGTTCTTGACTTCAAGAATCAGATAATATATAAATTATAACCTGCAGTGTATTGTCATTTATAAATTAAATTAAAAGATCATTAGGTAAGGATATAACTTTACTTATTGTTTAAACTCTATGGAATTATAGTATATATGCAATAAAATCCATAGATCTTATTATAGGTATATAATTTAATGAATTATTCATAGTAAACACACTATTGTAACCACTACCAAATTAAATATATGATAGTTTATCATAATTGCAAAAGTATCTTCCGTGCAAGTTTCCAGTTGTTATCAACCCTAAAGATAACTACTGTTCTCAATTCTTACACCATAAACTAGCTTTGCCTAAATAGATACTGTACATTAAAAGTTTTTTCACCATGTACTCTTTTGAATACATCTTTTTTCATTGCATTTCATGCCTGTGAGAATTATTCATTATTGAGCCTCTTGATTTTCTCCATTACTGTGTAGTATTTCATGACTTCGTTGCATAATGTATTTATTCATTTTACTCCTGATAGATACTTGGATTATTCTAGTTTCAAGCTCTAACAACGAATACTCCTATAATCACTCTTGCATATATCTTTTGTTTCACTCATGTACATATTTCTGTTATACATGAGTGAGGGTAACTGCTGAGTTATAAAGCATGCTTTAGTAAATACTGCCAAAGGTCCAAAGAGGCTGAGTTCATTTATATTCCTACCAATAACATATCATTTAATTTGATGTGATGATTAACTTTATGTGTCAACTTTCCTAGGTAATGGCACCTAGTTCTTCAATCAAAAACTAGTCTAAATGTTGCTGTTAAGGTATATTTTAGATGTGATTAATGTTTCCATAAGTAGGTTTTGAGTAAAGCAGATTATCTTCCACAATGTAGGTGCACATTATCCTTTAAGTTAAAGGCCTTAACCGAAAAGACTGAGGTCCCCTGGACAAGAATACCCGCTCTCCAAATATTAGATTGCCAGGCCACACTATAACATAAACCAATATCTTAAAATCTCTCTTTCTCTCTCTCCAACACCACACACGCGCGCGCACACACACACACACACACACACACATTCTATTTGTTCTTTTTCTAGAAGTGTATTAACTGACGAATACACTTCCCATTGTCATTTGGTTTTTGACTGTAGACATTTTCTGGGTGCTATGATCTGAATGTTTGTATCTTCCCCATATTCATATGTTGAAATATAAACCCCCCAAATTCATATGTTAATAGTATTAAGAAGAGGGGCCCTTGGTAGGTGAGTAGATTATAAAGCCAGACCTCATGAAAAGGATTAATGCCCTTATAAAAGAAGCTTGAGAGAACTCCTTCAGCCCTTCCACCAAATGATTACACTAAGAACCAGAAATCTCAGGATACCAAATCTGTTGGTACCTTAATCTTGGACTTAAAAATGTCTATTCTTTATAAGCTACTCAGTTTATGGTATTTTGTTACAGCAGTCTGAAGGGACTAAAACAGTGGATATCCAGTGTTAGCCCATGATTTTATGTTTTTAACTTTCCTGATAATCACTGGTCATTAGAGAAATGCAAATCAAAACCACAATGAGATACCATCTCACTCAGAATGGCAATCATTAAAAAGTCAGGAAACAACAGATGCTGGAGAGGATGTGGAGACATAGGAATTCTTTTGCACTGTTGGTGGGAGTGTAAATTAGTTCACCCATTGTGGAAAAACAGTGTGGCAATTCCTCAAGGATCTAGAACCAGAAATACCATTTAACCAAGCAATCCCATTACTAAGTATATACCCAAAGAATTATAAATCATTCTACTATAACGACATATGCACACATATGTTTATTGCAGCACTCTTCACAATAGCAAAGACTTGGAATCAACACAAATGCCTGTCAATGACAGTCTAAAGTTGAGTACCTTTTTTTTTTTTAGAACATTTTTTTTTTTATTATGCTTTAAGTTCTGGGATACATGTGCAGAACCTGCAGGCTTGTTACATAGGTCTACACGTGCCATGGTGGTTTGCTGCATGCATCAGTCTGTCATCTACATTAGGAATTTCTCCTAATGCTCTCCCTCCCCTGGCTCCACCACCCTCTGATAGACCCCGGTGTGTGATGTTCCCCTCCCTGTGTCCATGTGTTCGCATTGTTCAATTCCCACTTATGAGTGAGAGCATGTGGTGTTTGGTTTTCTGTTCCTGTGTTAGTTTGCTGAGAATAATGGTTTCCAGCTTCATCTATGTCCCTGCAAAGGACATGAACTCATCCTTTTTTATGGCTGCATAGTATTCCATGGTGTATATGTGCCACATTTTCTTTAGCCAGTCTATCATTGATGGGCATCTGGGTTGCTTTCAAGTCTTTGCTGTTATGAATAGTGCTGCAATAAACATATGTGTGCATGTGTCTTTATAGTTGAATGATTTATATTCCTTTGGGTATATACCCAGTAGTGGGATTCCTCAAGGATCTAGAACCAGAAAATTAGGTACTTTTAAAATATATTTAGTGGTCACTTAAATAGCATCCTTTCTGAAGTGACTTTCAAGTCTTTTGACCACCACATGTAAAATTTGGCTGCTTTTGTTATATATCTGTAGAAATTCTTTATAATTTTGGAAACAAATACTTCATCAAACATATTGTGGAAATATATTCTCCTTTGATTTCCTCAATAGTCTTGTCATAATAGAAATTCTTAATTTTAATAAAATCCAATATTTCAATCTTTCCCTTAGGGATGGATACAGTTTGCTTCTTATTTAAGAAAAATTTTCTACCACAATTACATGAAGATATTATCTTACATGTTCTTCTAGAAGTTCTATTGTTTTGTCTTACACTTTTTTACCTGTTACCTAACTGAAGTTTATTTTTGCATCAGGTGTGAAGTAGGAGTCAAAGTTTATTTCAACAGAAATATGCAGCTGACTCAGCAACATATACTGAAAATACTCTATTTGACCCACAGCATTTCAGTGAAATACTCTATAAATCAGGTAACCATATATTTATGGGTCGATTTCTGTTCTTAGACTTTTTTATTTATTTATATTTCTAATTTATTAGTATCAGCATATTTTAATTACTTTAATAATAATAAGCATGCTTAATAATAAGCATGAATTTTAGGCAGAGAAAGTTTTCTCACCTTTTTGTTCTTCTCCTGGAGTGCATTAACTATTTCTGGTCCTTTCCATTTTCAGGTAAAATTTTGCAACAGCATTACTTTCCACAAATAAGCCAAATAGAATTTGAATAGGACTGTAACTGAGTCCCACTTTGGAGGGTGGACACTATTTTTGCAATAATGAGTCTCCCAATATATGAATATGGTAAATTCCACTACTTATTTGTTTATTTAATTTCTCTCAATTTGTTTTCTTTGTATAGGTCTTACACATTTTTAATAGGTTTATATTTCAGTGTTTGAGGTTTTTGACATTATTATAAACATTTACTTTCTCTAACATTTTACTTCTGGGTTGCTCATGGCTCATTTATTTAAAAATAAATTAAATATTACATTTATATTTTTATATTTATTATTTTAATATTTATTTTTTATTTGTATAAATTTTAGAGGTACACATGCAGTTTTGTTACACAGATATGTTGTGTAGTGGTGAAGTCTGGGCTTTTAATGGAACTATCACCCAAATAATATACATTGTACCCATTAAGTAATTTCTCATTCCTCACCTGTTCCACACTCTTACCCTTCCAAGTCTCCAGTGTCTAACATTCCACACTCTACATCCATGTGTACACATTGTTTACCTCCCACTTATAAGTGAAAAAGTAAAAAAGATACTTAACTTTAATTTCTAATTTGTTTTACTTAAGATAATGTCCTCCAGTTCCATCCATGCTCCTGCAAAAGACATAATCTCGTTCTTTTTTATGACTGAATAATATTCTATTGCATATGCACTAGATATAATATGCATATGCATATTGCAAATCATGCACTGATGGATAATTAGGTTGATTCCATATCTTTGCTATTGTGAACAGTGTTGTGATAAATGTACAATGTGGGTATTTTTTTAATCTAAAAATATTTTAAAAATTGGATAGATACCCAATACTGGGATAGATACCCAATAGTGGGATAGCTGGATCGAATGGTAGCTCGATTCTTAGTCCTTTGTGAAATTCCATATTGCTTTACTTATATACTTCTAGTACATTTACATTTAACGATCATACTCAACTTAGTTATTAATTCAAACAGTATGTTTATAGATGTTTTAAATTTTAGATGATAATCTTTGAATAATATCCAGTTTTATCTCTTCTTGCATAAGATCACTAAATAATGTATAACCAGCATTTCTTAAGTCTCTCTCAACCCCTTTTCAGCCACTACTTTTCTTTGAGAATAATTTAATATCCTGAGTTTTAAATATACGTATTGCTATGCCTAATTTGAAATTCATACAAAAGGAACAACACAGGACACTGTGTTTTGTGTCCAACATCTTTCACCCAACATTATGGTTATGAGATTTTTAAAAATATTATTGAAGTTGTATTTCATTTATAATCATTACTGTATAATATTCCACTGTGTAAACATACCATAATTTTCTGTTCGGTTGGATTTTCCCCTATTATTTTTAGTTGACATGTAATAATTATATCTGTTTATGGGATACAGGGTAATATTTCAATAAATATACACAATGTGCAATTACCATCAGGGCAATTAGCATATCCATCACTTCAAACATTTGTTATTATTTTGTGTTGTGAACATTCAAAATTTTTGCTTCTAGCTTTGTGAAAATATATACTAAATTATTGTTAACCATATTCACCCTACAGTGCTACAGAACACTAGTATTTATACCTCAAATCTAGCTGTAACTTCATATCTGTTAACCAACTTCTCTCCATCCTTTCCTTTCCCCTACCTTCTCCAGTCTCTAATAACCACAATTCTACTCTACATCCATGAGCTCATTTTTTTAGCTTCCACATATCAGTGAAACATGTGGTATTTATTTTTCTGTACATGAGTCATTTCACTTAACATAATGTCCTCCAAGCTCATTTATGTTGCCATGAACAACAAGATTGCATTCTTTTTTGTAGCTAAATTATATTGTATTGTGTATATATACCACATTTTCTTTATTCATCTGTTGATTCCATATCTCAACTATTGTAGGTAGAGCTGCAATAAACATGGGGCACAGGTATCTATTTCATATACTGATTTCCTTTCCCTTGGACAAATCCCCAGTACTGGGATTTCTGGGTAATATGGTAATTCTATTTTTAGTTTAATGGAAAACCTACATACTGTTTTTCCATAATGGCTGTCCTAATTTACATCCCCACCAACAGTGTATAAGAGTTCCCTTTCCCTGAATCTATGCCAGCATTTGTTTTGTATTGTTTTTCTTTTTGATAATAGCCATTCTAACTGTGGTGAGATGGGGTCTCACTGTGGTATCATTTTGTGTTTACCTGATGATTAGTGATATTGAGCAGTGTTTCATGTACTTATTGGCTGTTTGTATGTCTTCTCTTGAGTAATGTCTATTCAGATCATCTGCCCACTTTTTCATCAGATTATTTACTTTCCTGCTCTTTTACATTTTGAGTGACTTGTTTATTTCTTTTTCCTAATTGCTCCAGCTTAGACTTTTAGTACTATGTAAAATAAAAGTGATGAAAGTGGGCATCCTTGTCTTGTTCCAGTTCTGAGAAGAAAGACTTTCAGCTTTTTCCCATTCAGTATGATTTTAGCTATGGGTTTTTCACATACAGCCTCTATTGTGTTGAGATATGTTCCTTCTAAACCTATTTTTTGAGCTTTTTTATCATGTACAGATGCCAAATTTCATCAAATGCTTTTCTATATCTATGAAAATAATGATATAGTATTTGTACTTTATTACTTCTATGTGAAGTACTACATTAATTGATGTGCAGGTGTTGAAAGTCTTTGTATTCCTGTGAAATGTTCCAATGGGTCATCATGTATTATCTTTTTGATGTGTTGCTGGATTTGGTTTTTCAGCGTTTTGCTGAGGATTTTTGCATCCATATTTATCAGGGATATTGGCCTGTAGTTTTCTTTTCTTGTTTTATCCATGTCTTGTTCAGGTATCAGGGAAATGCTAGCCTTGTAGAGTGATTTAGGAAGATTTTTCTCTTCTTCAATTTCTTGGAATACGTTGAGAGGAATTCGTATTAGTTCTTCTTTAAAAGTTTGATAGAACTCAGCAGTGAAACCATCAAGTTCTGGGCTGTTCTTTGTCGGGAGACTATTACTGATTCAATCTTATTACTGGTTATTGATCTTTTCTAATTTTCTATTTCTTCCTTTTTCAATATTGGTAGATTATATGTGTCTAAAAATTTATCCACTTCCTCTGGGTTTTCCAATTTGTTGGCATATAGATGCTCATAATTGTCTCAAATGATCATTTGCATTTCTGTGGTATCAGCTGTAATGTCTTTTTCATTTCTGATTTTATTTTGGTTTTCTATGTTTATTTCTTAGTGTAGCTAACAATTAGTTTATCTTTTCAAAAAGCATTTCTTGGTTTGTTGACCTTTTGTATTTTTTGTCTCCATTTTGTTTAGTTCTGCTCTGATTTTATTATTTCTTTTTTTCTACTAATTTGGGATGTCGTTTATTCTTTCTAGTTTCTTGAGGTGTATCACTAGGTTTTTTGTTTGAAATCTTTCTACTTTTTTAAATGTAGACATTTATTGCTCTAAATGTGCATTTTAGTACTGTTTATTTTTCTATATCCCATGGATTTTGGTATGTCATTTTTCTGTTTTTGTTTCAGGATTTTTTTTTATTTCCTTCTTAATTTCTTTATTGACCCAATGGTCATCCAGGTGCATGTTATTTAATTTCCATGTGTTTGTGCTGTTTTCAGATTTTTCTCTTGTTATCAATCTTTTATTTTATTGTGGTCTGAGAAGATATTTGGTATTATTTTGATTTTTAATTATTTTTTGAGATGTGTTTTTGTACTAAGCTATAAGATATTCTATATAATGTTTCATGTATGGATAAGAAGAATGTGGATTCTGTATTTGTTGGGTGAAATGTTCTGAAAATGTTTGTTAGGTCCATTTGGTCTACAGTGCAGTTTAAGCCTAATGTTTCTTTGTTCATTTTTTTAATAGATGACCTGCCAATGCTGAAAGCGGGATGGTAAAATATCCAACTATTATTATACTGAAGTCTATCTCTCTCTTTATCTCTGATAATATTTGTGATGGGAGCAGCCGCCAGGAAGATGCTGGCTGCAGCTGGGGAGGCACGGCTGGGTTTGCAGGTTCCACAGGTCAACAGGAGCTGGGATCAGGCGGGAGCCCCTCCCGCTACTGAGGTGAAGTAGGAGCCCCATGCTCCCAGGCACAGCTACAGCCACCCAGCCACAGCTCCCTACCTGGGCATCCTTGTGCTCTCGGGAACCTGGGAAGCCCCTCTGCCCACACAGGGTCAGAAGTGCCTGCTTCCTCTCACTGGCCTCTCCCTGCTCCTGGTGACCACTCCAATTTTGGAGCAAAGTTGTTGCCAAGCCCAGGCACTGTCACAACCTGGCCACGTGTGCACACACTCAGGGCAGCACTGACACGCTAGCACCCTCCCAGCCCCACCTCAGCCCCCTCCAGAACTTGGGTGCTGACAAGTGCAGGAGGGAGGCCTGTGGGGTGCTGAGGGCAGCTCAGTGTGAGCCTGCAGGTGACCCTTAGCACAAACAGCCTGGGTGCCATGGATGACATGTTAATGGCAGCAAGAGTCAGACAGACTCCTGGACAGAAAGGGGCGGGTCCCCTGTGAAGCCCCACCTTCAAGTCAGTGTTCACCCAAAGCCTGGAGGCTAGGCTGTCAGTTCCAGATGGAGTCCACCATCAGGAGTGAGAACTTATGGTGGTTTTTTGGACCCGCCTATGGCTGTCCATGGACCAATCAGCACACACTTCCTCCCTTCTGAGCCCGTGAAAATCCTGGACTCAGCTAGACTCAGACAGACATTGGGATTACCAGATGCAGGAGGGAGCTACACACTTCAGGTCTCCTCTACTCTTCAGAACGACCTGCCTGTAGAAAGGAGCTGCCCACCACGGGTCTCCTCTGTGCTGAGAGCTGGACACTTGTTGGGATGAACTGATCCATTTGGGTCTCCTGAGAGCTGTTCTGTTGCTCAATGAAGCTCTTCTCCACCTTGCTCACTCTCCAGTTGTTCGCATACCTCATTCTTTCTGGATGGGGGACAAGAACTCAGGACCCGCCAAATGGTGGGACTGAAAGAGCTGTAATGCGAACAGGGCTGAAACACACTCCCCACTTGCCACGTGTGGGGAACAAGAAAGAGAGAAGAGCTACGGCTCTTAGGGAAGCCCAGACCTAGGGTTTTCCTGAGCCAGGACTGTGAAACCCTCTTTCGGGCTTTGTGGTTCCTAGCATCACCAAGCTTCCAGGTACCACCACGTTCCCCAGTGCCCAGAGTGGAAGCTGCTTGTGGTACGCCTGGTTCAACTGCAGCCTTGAATGAAGCCAGCACCTATGCTAGCGCCTGGAGCTACCCATCCTCCTGCAGCCCACGTTCCTAGCACAGTGACTGGACCCCATGGTTGCTCACATACCCCTTGCTGCACCGTGCCTGGCTCGCCCTTGACAAGTGTGGAATCTGAGCCAGTAACATGAGCTGAGCACAAGCTGCCAGGCTGAATGGGCAGAATAAACCCAGGGAATTGAGCAAAATTTGGGCAAAGGTGCCACCAGCCCCAGAGGTTTCTGGCTGGAAAAGCAACACACTACAGATCCTGTGACATTTGTTTGACATATCTAGGTTCTCTAGCTTTTGGTGCATATATATTAATAACTATTATATCTTCTTGCTGGATTAATCCATTGATCATTCTATAATGACCTGTAATAACCTTCTTTGTCTATTTTATGTGTTTTTTTTTACTTAAAGTCATTTTGTATGATTCCTATTCCTGCACACTTTTGCTTTCTGTTTATATGGAATATCTTTTTCATCCCATCACCTTTAGTCTGTGGGTATCTTTGCACTTGAAGTAAATCTCTTGTAGGCAGCATATAGTCTTGCTTTTTTGCTTTTGTTTTGGTTTTGGTTTGTTTGTTTTGTTTTTTCCTTCAGGCACTCTATATTTTTTGAATTGGAGAATTTAAATTATTTACATCCAAGATTGCTATTGATAGGTGTGAACTTCTGTTATTTTAACTCATTTCTTATTATTTTGTGTATCCTTTGTTTCCTTCTTTTTTCTCTTATTGTCTGTGTGGTTTTGTTGTTTTCTGTAATGATGAAGTTTGATTTCTTTCTCTTTCTCATTTGTGTATCTGCTCCACCAGTGAGTTTTATACTTCTGTGTGTTTTCATCATGGTATGTATTGTTCTTTTACTTCAAGATGTAGTACCCCCTTAAGCATTTCTGGTAAGGCCAGTTTAGTGGTACTAAAGTATCTTGGTTTATCCTTGTCTGGGAAAAACATTTTTTCTCCTTTATTTTTGAAGATTATCTTTGCTGGGTATGGTATTCTTGATTGGCATTTTTTTTTTCTTCCAGTGCTTCCAGTATATCACTCCATTCTTTCCTAATCTGTAATATTTCCACTGCAAAATCTGCTGTTAGTCTGACAGATTTCCTTATATGTGATTTGACAGTTTGCTCTTGTTGTTTTTGGAATTTGCCCTTTGTCTTTGGCTTTTTCTATTTAACTTTAATAGCCCTTAGAGAAAACCTTTTTGGTTGAAGTTATTGTGACATTTTGGAATTTCTTGTATCTGGATATTTATATATTTTCTATGACTTAGGAAGTTTTCAAGTATTATCTTATTGAATAGTTTGTCTATGTCTTTTCCTATATCTTCTCCTTCTGGAAATCCAAAAATCCAAATATTTGTTCACTTGATGGTGTCCCATATGTCACATAGGTTTTCTTTTATTAAAATATTATTTTTTGTCTAACTGAATTATTTCAGAAAACCTGTTTTCATGTTCAGAATTTTTTTCTTCTGCTTGATCTATTGTTGAAATACTTGATCGTATTTATTTTATTCATTGAATTATTCAGTTCCAGTGTTTTTCTCTGTGGCTGAGTGACCCAGGCTGGAGTGAAGTGGTGTGATCTTGGATCATTGCAACCTCTGCGTCCTGAGTTCAAGCAATTCTCATGCCTCAGCCACCTGAGTAGCTGAGACCACAGATGCACACCACTACACCCAGACAATTTTTGTACTTTTAGTGAAGATGAGGTTTTGCCATGTTGTCTAACCTGGTCTTGAACTCCAGACCTCAACACCTGCCTCAGCCTCACAAGGTACTGGGATTACAGGCACGTGCCACCATGCCTGGCCACTGTCTGGTTGTTTTTCATAATATATATCTTTTTATTAAATTTCTCATTCAGATCATGAATTCTTTTTCTGATTTCTTTGTATCATCTATCTAGGTTATCTTGAATGTTGCTATGTTTCCTTAATATGATTTTTTCTGAATTCTTTTTTAGGCATTTCGTAAGTTTCTTTTTCTTTGGAGTCTGGTACTGGAGAATTGTGTTCATTTAGAGGTATGTTTCCTTGTTTTTTCATGTTTCTTGAATCCTTATGCTGATATTTGTGCATCTGTTGTCACAGTTGCTTCTTCCACTTTTAGGAACAGCTTTTGTGGAAAACAACCTTTTCCTGTGTATGTATCCATAATGTCATTTGGGTAGGGTATTTTGGCTTTGGTTCTGAGTGGCTACCATAGTGGAATCATCATGTAATTTCTTCAGCTGTAATCAATGCCAGCTGTATCTGCAAGTTCCTCAGGGGCTTAGGTGCCAGTTGTTTGTGGGGTCTATCATGAGGCTTTGCTGGGGACTAGGGCACTAGGTGGGCCAGCCCTCAGGCCTCTGAGTGGTGTATATGGGCACCCTCAGTGGGGGCCGAGGGTACCAGGCAGACAGGCTCTTAGTCCCCTAAGTGGCTTATATGGGCCCTAGAAGTGCTGGTGGTGGGCTAGGCTGGCCAGTCCTTGGGACCCCCGACACCATGCATGAGTGCCTGCAGAAGCAGCTGTAGCCCAGTCAGGCAGTATTTTGGGTCCCTGGGTGGTGATCACAGGTGCACTGTGCCCCCGCTGCTGGAGCAGGTAGGACTGCTGGCAGCAGTGATGGCCCTGAGAAAGTTGGTTCCCAGACTCTGGGAAGCAAAGGCTTTGTCTCCCTATGTCCTGGCAGCAGTCTCTCTCATGTGCTGGATCATCTGTTCCTTAGAGAATAGAGCCAAGCTCAATGAGCCAAGCATGAGCCAAGCTCAATGATGCTATTTTTATTTTTCAAAATTATTTTTGCTGTGTGTTTCTTTTTGGATTGTTTTTATTGCTATATCTTAAAGTTTACTTATCTTTTCTTCCATAATGTTTATTATACCCCGAATTGTATCTAGTGTATCTTTTATCTCAGGTGCATCCCTAGGTGGGGATATGGCTGCACTACTAGGTCCAGCTGGTGCCACAACACTGCAGTACCCTGAGTGGATGTTGGGAAATGTCAGGCCCCCAGTGATGCAGGGGTTATTGAGCAAGATGTAGCCTGGTGTTGGCTCCACTCTCAAAATGTCGCCAGGTTGCAACACCCTGGCTCAAAGGGTGCGGGGTGGAGACCCAGTGTGAGTTCTCTCTTTGAGACAATGTAGTTACATGGATTCCATACAGCTAGTTGTTTTAGACTCAGGTACTATCAGAGGGCTGGGAGGCTGTCCAGTTGCTAGAATTTCAGGCTTCTATGGTGAGAATATTTACTATAGGGATCTTTAATTTACCTTTTCTCACAGTAGGGAGCCTTCCTGCCTGCTTCACTTCCTTCTGTATACTGCCATCTTTAGTGTCCAAGATTGAGAGGGGCCCTGTCATTTCCCTGCTGAATACCAATGTTCTCCCTTAGACACGGTATTTGATGTGTAGTTATCTACTCACTGCTTTGGTTCTTCTTTGTGGAGGAGATAAGCTCTGCATGACTCTAGTCAGCCACAGTGGTGACATCTTGTATCCACTTGACTGCTGATGGAGATTTGTTTATATTTCAGTTTGAGGCTATTTTGAAAAGTGGTGTTATGTATATTCTAGTATATATATTTTAAGCTATTTTATTATAATGTGCCTTGGTATAGTTATATTTTAGTTTCTTGTTCTTGAGTTTTCTTAAGTTTCTTAAATCTATGGGTTTATAATTTTTATCAAGATTGGAAAATTTTAGGTTATTATTTCTTCAAATAATTTTCTGTATCCTCTTCTTACTCTTCTCCTTAAAGAACTCAAATTATGAGTATATTAAGCAACTTGGATTTGTTCCATAGCTCAAAGATGTTATTTTTATTTTTTTAAACATATTTTTTCTGTGTTTCTTTTTGGATTAATTTTATTGCTATACCTTAAAGTTTACTTATCTTTTCTTCCATAATGTTTATTGTACCCTGAATTCTATCTAGTGTATCTTTTATCTCAGACATTGTGGTTTTCATGTCCATAAAATTGATTTATATATATTTTACATGTCTTGTCTTTCCCTAATATTAATGAACGTAGGGAATGGTTATGATAACTATTTTGTTGTTCTTTTCTCTTAATTTTAACTTTTATGTTAATTCTGTTTTATTATTTTTTCACCTTATATTTTGTGTTTTTCTGCTTTTCTGTATGCTTGTTAATCTTATTGGATGCTAGACATTGTAAACTTTACCTTGTTATGTGCTAGATATTTTTGTTTCTCCATATTTTAAACCTTTGTCCCAAGGTCCAGTTAAGTTATTTGGAAACAGTTTGTCCTTTGGGTCATGTTCTTATGATTTGTTAGGTAAGTCTAAAGTATTGCTCTGTCTAGTAGGTCTAAAGTATTGCTCAGTCTAGGGCTAATTGTTTCTTATTATTAAGATAAGGCCTCTATTTGAATTAAAAGTCTGGTAGGTTGGGACCTGGCCCTGTGATAACCCTGGAGACTGTTCTGTTCAGTCTTTTTGGATGGTTTTCTCCACTGTCAAGCAGTTTCTTTAACACCCTGTACTTACAAGTACTCAAGAGATAAAGTCCAAAGATCTCTGGAGTGGTCTTTATATGCTTCACTCTTCTCTTTTTAATTTTGATGGATTTAAATGATATTTTAATTGTCATAATGAACTGCATAGGACATCCAATACAATTTCGAATGCAAGCAATGAGAGCATTCAAGCATATTTTACCTTTTTAGGTGGGTAGCTTCTAAAATTTCACTATTAAAAATTATAGGGTTTTCTGCATTTTTTTAAAATTATACTAAGGATGTTTCTTTATATACTTAACTTTCCAAGAGCTTCTATAATAAATTGGGAAAGAACTTTGTCAAGTACTTTATTTGAATTTATTGGGACAGCCGAATTTTCTTTTTTTTAGTGTGATAAAAAGCATTGATATATATTAAAATGTTAATCATTTTTATAGTCTAAGACTAAAACCCAACTGGATATTTTTCCTTTTTTATAAATTGCTGAATGCCGTATGTGAACATTTTATTTGTGATATCTGCATCTTTTATTTATGATCGTTAACTTATTTAATAGATGCCAAATTATTCAGAATTTTTATTTACTTTTTTTGTCATTTTTGGTAAATTGATTTACAAAAGATTTTTTTAATTGAATTTCAATTGTCAAATGATTATTATAACAGTTTGTACAAACATTATTTTAATGTCAACAATACTTGAGTCATATCATTATTTTTATTTGGAATTTTTGAAATCTTAAATAATTTTGAGGCACTTAATTTTATTCAAAGAATTAATATTTGGTTCTTCCATTTTTTAAAAATTGTTCTTTTCTATTCTCTATCAATCATTCGCTTCTGCTTTTTTACAAATTAACTTTCTTGTCCTTGTGGGGAATTAATTTGCTATTCTTTTTCTAGATTTTGAGCTAAAAGTTGAGCCTTTTGATTTCCAATCTTACTTATTTTTATACATGAATTTTAAGACTACAAATTTTCCTGTAAGCACTTTTTTTTAACTTTAATCCTACAGCTTTTGATAAGACCCATATATGTGACTTGATTAAGAATAGCTATCTGTCTGATATGGTTTGGCTGTGTCCCCACCCCAAATCTCATCTTGAATTGTAATCCCCATGTGTCAAGGGGGAGACAAGGTGGAGGTAATTTGATCATGGGGGCAGTTTCTCCCATGCTGTTCTCATGATAGTGAGTGAGTCTCACAGGATCTGATGTTTTTATAAGCGTCTGGCATTTCCCCTGCTTGCACTCACTCCTCCTGCCTCCCTATGAAGAAGGTGCCTGCTTCTCCTTTTTCTTCTGCCATGATTGTAAGTTTCCTGAGGCCTCCCCAGGAATGCAGAACTGTGAGTCAATTAAACATCTTTCCTTTATAAATTATCCAGCCATAGGTATTTCTTCATAGTAGTGTGTGAACAGACTAATCAGATTCACAATTGGAAATCTGATCTTTTTAAGAAATGCAAAGTTGAATATAATTCCATTAGCTAACTCCCAAAGAAATGTCTTTTACAGAGCACCTTGATTTTAATAAAGCCAGGTGCTCTCATACTGCCAAGGATAAATACACATTTAAGAAAAAGTTATAATGTAATAAATAGTAATAAAAACAAAATAAAACAATAATTTATAATATATCATCAATTATGCGAAGTCAAAAAATAATTTAAAGGAGAGAGAGAATATGAGAGAAAGGCAATTATTTTCCTCAGAAAAATAAGAAATAATATTGTAATCTTGAAACAAAAATATAATTAAATGGTTTAAAAAACTTAAAATAGAACTAATTAAGGGTTGGAAAATAAAGGAGATTTTCTTGAAGGTATAGCCAAAGAGAAAGCAATAGAAATTAAGAAATCAAAGACTTAAAAATAAACAACAACCTATGTACAATCTATTTCAGGAGGTTAAATCCCAGAAAATGAAAATACTAGAAAGTCAGAGAGAAGATGGAAGAACTAATTCAAAGCTAATTCAAAAAAATCCTTGAACTAAATGAAGTTTTCAGACGGAAACGAATTAGTGAGGCCATCTCACCTTGTATGAAAATAGACCTATAACAAGACACATTTTCATATTTCAAAATACCAAACAGGGAGATGTTTCTGCAATTTATGCAGAGAGAGAAAGACAAGAAGAGAGGAAGGTTTTATTCAGAGTAAAAAATCAAAATGGCACTAGTTTTCTTTATAGCAATATTGAAAATTGGAAGACAGTAGAGCTTCACTTTTTAAATTCTGAAGGAAAATTATTTCCAACCTGAAATTTCATCGAGTTTTCACCTAAGCATTTCAGGTAGAATTGACATATTTACAGACATGCAAGATGTATAATTTTACCTTCCTTAGAGAATGTGCTTTGTAATAACAAGAGATTAAAATAACAAATAAGTTAATATGTGATTCAAGTAACAGCGAATCTAATCTAAGAAAAAAAGCAGAGAATATTTAGGAAAATTGTGAAGGAATATGTCCACACACCAGGCCTAAAGAATAGCCGGATAAGACTAAACTCAATCAGAATAATCTGGGAGAGGGTTCTTAGATGATTATATTGATGGACGATCTAAAGTTTTCTAGTGTAGTGAGACAATAAATTTTGGGTTAATTTAGTGAACAGAACATAGAAAATAAAACAAAGGAAATATAAGACAATTATTGGTTTAGCTATAAATAGCCATGTCACCATAAATACTGAATTTCTATATAATCAAAATTAGAATATAACTTTTGGGATGGTGGGAGGTGTAAATAAAATAGGAGTCTGGGAGTGTATGAAAGAGGGTTAAATCCTGATCTTCCATAGCAAGAAGTCAATAGACAATATCTCAAACTGAAAAACTAGGAAAAATGATATAAGAATATTATTTAGAGATATGGAAGTAAACACTTTTGAAAGTAGGTTGAAAATTGTCATTGCCCTGCTGTTTTCCTAGCAGCATGTGTGAATCCAGTTGCTTCTTTAAATCATGGTACCTGTATAAGTAAGTTTGATGAAAATAAAAACTATATGAAAATTTAAAACAATGCACTTATGACTATAGGCAACATTATAAGTAAATGTTATAAAAATCACATTGAGTAAAAGAAGTTCAAAGTAGTAGACTGTATATATATACATACGTATATATATATATATATACACACAAATATATATATATATATACCCTTTATATAAAGTACAAAAAGACACAATGTCTAATGTTAGAAGTCATGACAGGCTAGTGTTTTCTGCTGAAACATAATTCGAGCATTTTTACTACCCATTATAAAATACTTAGGTTCTCTAAGTTCAGTTTTTGTCTCTTCTACTATAACTCACTAAATGTGTGTCACCTGGCTTTGCTCATGTCATCTTTTAGGAATTTAGGCTTAGAAAACTGTTGCTAAACAATGATGATACTGTGGCTACTGCTGTTGAAATCATTATCTCTGACCCAAAAGTCTGATGTTTTCTGCCAAAATCCATGAAATTATGGCAGGGTAACTTGTTTATTCAGAGGTAAGGTAAAATGTCAAACCCTTTACAGTCCCTAACAATAATACAGGTATAAATATAAGTTAAACAAATATTTGACCCAGGAATTCTAATGCTAGTTATATATACCCCAAACTCTATGTATTCAGGAACACTGGGATAAATGCACATAAATCTTTATAACAAAATTATTTATAATAGCCTCAATCTGCAAAAATATTGTTTGTTTCATAATAGAATAAATAAATTGTGATATATTCAAACAATGAATCATCTTGTATCAAAGAGAAAAAAACTACAGCTACCTATTTTTAAAAAGTATAAGTAAATTTTTAAAACATAATGTTGAATGAAATTAGCCAAATACAAAATAATACATTCCAAATATATGATTAAAATCAAACAAAATTATGTATCTTTAAAGATGATTATTTAAATATTCAAATGTCAAAAGCAAAGAAGTAAAAATCATTAAATTAGTAAATTGTTTAAGTTTGTGAATGAGAGGGTTTGTGATTGACAGGTAGGAATTCCGAGGTGCTGGCATGTTGTTTTTCTAACATGGTATGATGGTAAATTGTAGACGTCAACTTGATTGGATTAAAAATTACCTAGAGAACTGGTAAAGCATTGTTTCTGGTGTATCTGTAAGGGTGTTTCCAGAGGACATTGGCATGTGAGTCAGAGGACTGAGTGAGGAAGATTCATCCTCAATGTGGGCAGGTATTATCTAATCTTTTTATTCTAATTGGGTTGTAATAGAACAAAAAAGGCAAGGAAAAGGCAATCTTCCCCCCCAACACTCCCCCCACACATAGACACCCCCCGACCCCTGTGTCCTGGCCTCCTGGAGCTGGGACATTCTTCTTCCTTTGCACATCAGAACTCCAGGTTTGCCTGTCTTTGGACTCCAGGACTTACACCAACATCACCCACTACCTGGGATTCTCAGGCCTTTGGCCTCAGACTGAGAATTACACCATCAGCTTCCCCAGTCCTGAGGCTTTTGGCCTTGGACTAAGCCATGATACAGCATATCCCAGGGCCTCTAGCTTACAGATGGCCTGTCATGGGACCTCTCAGCCTCTATAATTGTATGACCCAATTTCCATAATAAATCACCTCCTATCTATCTATCTCCTCTTAGTTCTGCCTCTTAGAAGAACCTAATACATGTGGGTTTAATTACACATGTCTATGCTTTATGTAATATTATTAAGTTGTTTACTTTTCATTTTGTGTATTTTGCTTTTTGTGTTTTATACTTTATAATTGAGATGGTTAAATTTAATAACTATAATTAGTATCTTAATGAAGGGACTATGCATCAGATATGCTAGGCATAATTCATTTTCAATAAACCAGAAAATGAATCTGATATGAAATTACCTAGAATGCCAAATAGACTCCACAACCAATAAAAAATATTTAAAATAATTTAAAAATCATGGAGAGTAAGTAATAAGTTCTAACATATATCTAATTTGTTTACCTGTGGTAAGAAACAGAACGAAATGATGAACAAAGAAAATAGTAAACTTTAGCACATTTAAACCAATATTGTGTTTTTAAAATAAAAATAATGATGATAATGGTGTGTGGTTCATGACTAAAAAGAATGAGAAACTAAATAGTGAACATCAATAGGACAGATTCAAATATGGGGTAACACAAGTTTGAACATTAGTATGGTCACCGTATCTACAATGAGGACATACTGATGAAATGTATGGTTTTTGAAGTTATATAAACATTTAAAAATCTCTAGGTAACCACTAAGTGAATAGAGTGTAATTAAAATTTAAATAGAACGAGATGGGAAAAACAGATGTAAAAAAGCAAAAGGGAAGCATATAACAAGCTGGAAGAAATGATTCTAAATAATACAATAGGCACAATTATGTAAATGAACTAAATTTCTAGTTAAAATACATTTGTCAAACAGGATAAAAAACACAATTTAGCTATTTACAAGATATGTGCTTGAACAATAAAGACATAGAAAACTTGAAAGTAAATATTTGCAAAACTATATATCTTGTATTGTTAACCCAAAGTAAAATCTAACAAAAGAAAACTTAAGGGAAAATGTGTTTTATTATCATTGAAAAGCTACTAAATATTGGCAAAATGGTTAGATAGCCAGGAAAATATAACAATTCTAAGCCTGTGTGTACCTAAAAATGTAACTTCAATAGATGTAAAGTAAAAATTAATAAAACTATAAGCAGAATGACAAGTTTATTATTTTAGAAAATGTCTACCATCTCTTTTTTAGAAATGTTATATCAATAATTTTTTTAAAAAAAGAATATAGAAGATGTGAACAACATAATTAATAAGCCTGAACTTAATATACATAAATAGAATACTGCACCTAAAAATTAAAGTCTCTTCGAGTATGTTTGAATTATTAATGGAAAAAAATTCCCAACAAGTTTCAAATAAACATTGCTATACATAACACATGTTCTGACCTCAGTACAAATAAGGTAAAAGGTAATAACAAAAAACATTAAAACTCACAACATTTGTATATATTTAAAACTACTTCTAAATAAACTGTGATGACAGTTGCACAATTATAAATTTCATATACATCATAATTAGTTCATCCTATCTCTTGTGTGAAATGCATGTCTTTTATCATATGTAAATTATATCTCAGTAAAGCTGTTAACAAAGTAGTTCCCATCATATTATCAAGAAATGATCACTCCAATGCAAAAATAACCCAAAGATATAATTATTTTACAGAATAGAAATCGCCAATAAATATGTGAAAAGTGGCACATCCTCATTAGAAATCAGAGAAAGGCAAAATATAAACAAACTAGGAAATCATTTTATGTCCGAAACTTCACAAAATGTGAGAAGTCTGGCAATACTCTTTAAAGAATAGGATAGAAGATAACAGGAACCATCATACACTGCTGCCAGGAATCTAAATAGACAAAATTATCCCAGGTAAAATGGTATTATCTAGTGAAGTATAAATTTTTCCTTTCACCCAGTAATTTCAAGTGAGTGTTTGTATATGTGTGCATGTGTGTGGTGCATAAATAATAGCAGGAACAACAAAAAGAAACCTAGAAACATTTAAAATTTCCAACAACAGAAGTAAGGATGAATAAACTATGATGTGTTTATACAATGAAACACGTAAAGGAGTGAAAACTGAACAAATTACTGCCACACATATCAACAAAAGCAAATTTCAAGATCACAAGATTGAGTAAAGAAATGTCATTGAAATATATAGAGAGTATAATTTCGTTTATAGCAATATAAAAAAGAAAATGAAATCATAGATGGTTCTCAGTATATATATGTGTGTGTGGGTGTATATACATACATATGGTAAAATAGTTTAAAGGGATGGAGAAACTTTCACAATATTTAGAATAATGATAACCTGTGGCAAGGAGGCAGATACAGCCAGGGAAGGATTAATGAGCACTCTTGAAGTCTCTGATTATTTTGTATTTATTTTCCATGTGGGAACATATGCATGCCCCATTTATTCTTCTTCAAATTGGACCAAAATATCATTGTATAATCTTCTCTATTTTATTTCTTAAAATGTTTGTTATAAATATATGTCTATTCTATGAAAATCTTCTTTTTCCCTTTACATAAAGACTCTTTATAGAGCCATGTCATTTGATAATATGGTCAGAGTTTTTTTGTTTTTTTTTTTTTTTAGTTTACCTTAACTCAGGAAGTTGCTTTTGGCTTTATCTCATCTTTTAAAAAATTCTTATCTTATTATTACTTCTCTAATTTCTTTGAAAACATTAAATAGATGATATTTAAAATAGCTTCAGTTTTCAAAAGAAAAATGTTAAGTATGCATTCTTCCCAAATTGCTTTGTTTACTAAGTTTTTCCATTTTGGAGATTATTTTTGGTATTCTGTGTTTTGCGTTGATTGGTTACTGCTGCTATTGTCTTTATTTATTGTAGATTGAAAAGGCATAGACCCTGGTCTAAAGTCATGCTAACTTATTATAAATGAATAACAATTATTTCTCTTTATTACTCACTAATTAGAATTTCTCTCTATTCTCTCAGAGCTCTAAAATCAATTATAAATTCATAGTTAAATTCTCATTATAATGAAAAAATAAGCAATACACATACAGCAAAATTCTTCCGAGGCCACCTACTTCTCCGATAGTTGCTTTCTCCCTAGATGCTGTTAATATTTTTCTCAAAATTATTCTATTAATATATTATAAATCTAATAAATTTAAACATGAGATTTTTTTTAAATTTGATGATTGAATTTTAAAAACTAATACAAAGAAATGTGGACTTTTATATATTTACTTTAGATACAGCTACTTTATTAAACTATCTCTTTCCTTTTGATTAGTTATTTCTAGGTATATAATTCTATTCTCCATTAATAATGATACTTTTTGTTCCCTTTGTAATGACTAACATTTTTATTTTTGTCTCATGCTTCAAGTTCTGTGAATGACAATGCAGATAGAACCCATTCTTTGTCTAGCTACAGTTATAGTAATTTGTCATTAAATGATGATGTTGGTGTTTGAGATCTAAAATGATTAATTTTATTCATTTTAATACTTTATGTTATAATACAGTCATGATGATGATGACAGCTAACAGTTATTGAGAAGCCCAAGCAATGTGTCATATATCAGTGTAACTACCTTACATTCATTATCTCACTTCCTCTTTCTAAGAACCCATGGCATAATGCAAAAACTCAGTTTTGAGGACTGATCAGCTAGTTAGCAGTAGAAGTAGAACTCAAACTTAGTCTATAGTAATGCAAACTATTCATTATTTTAGTTACTATTCTATTTATTTAATAATATTTTTAAACAGTCTAAAGCCTATTAAAAAATCAATTCCTAAAGCAGGTAAATTTAAGTATACTAAAATGTTAATGATTCAAATGACAGGTAATAAAAGGTAAATTCATTATTCCTTTAAAACAAAAGCAAGATTTGTGGAACTTTTCTTCCCTTCTTCACTATTTCTTTTTTTTCCCCCTGTGTTTCTCTGTTTCATCTCTGTTCTTAAATTACACTTCAAAAAAACAGAATTGTAAACCTCTGGGTACATGAAGTATATAACCTTTGAGCTGAGTTCATTCCCTTGCCTCTGGGCCATTGCTCATTTGACCATCACCTGTATTTTCACTACACTACATGGTCATTTAAAGTTCTGGGCTTGTTTTAATTTGTTTGTTTAAAAGTTGTTCTAGGGTTTAATTTTGCAAGTATTCAAGCCTGAACCTTGTCTTTTACCCTACTTATTTAACATATTTTTGTCAGACCAAAATTATACTGATTTTTCCCAGTATTTCCTGATTAAAAAGCAAAGTGAAGAGTAAAACCCAAACATTTTTCCTAGAAATCTAGGGGGCAATTAAAAGAAATCACTAGGGCATTGTATAACATCATGAACACATACTCCTTTGGATATCCGTTGCTTACTTTTTGAACAAGTTTTTTCCTGTATACTGGCATGCGGGAGGCAAATAATATCATCCATAATAGATTGAGCAGTAGATCCAAGCAGGGCTGGCAAAAAACCAAAGCAAACACAGCATTCATCTTTGGTTGTAGTACAAAAAGACCAGTAATGCCAATTTGCTTCCCAAACAAAATAAAAATAAATGAGGAAATATAGCCTGTGGTGGAGAAGGAGGGATGACCTGTCCTGAATTTAGAAGTCTGACAAAAGTGGAGTGCAAATACAACTACACAGATATCAGTTATGTGATTTTTTTCCACAAATTACTTAAATTCTGAGTCAAGCTTCTTCATGTTCAAAATGAGGATAATTCCATTTTGCTAATAGTATTTAGGTTAGGTAGCAACAAAAAAGCTACCAAGTATCTGGCACAAAGTGCATAGTAAGCCATGATTAAGTTGTATATTTTATTACATGAGGTATTTCTGTAAGGTATTAACAATGTAATGGGATTATGAGACAAAGACAGTGAATATAAGAAAGGTTGAGTTTGCAGTGGCAGCAGTACTTGCTGAAATGGCAAAGATCCAGCTGGCTAACAGCTCCATAAGATGTTACTTTGTCTCTGTAGTACCATATTGGCTGTACCTTGCCTGTCTATGATATTGCCCAAGCTTGGTTCTCTAGTTTTCCTACTGATTTTACCCATGGCTCAGCTGAGACCTTTTCAATGAAGTCCTTTTCTGCTTAATTTGTTTCTGTTATTTATAACTGAAAATGATATTATATTATACTAGTTAGTCATTTTATACTAGTCAGTATAGAAATTTGAATGAATGGTTTCCAAGAATAAACCTTCAGGGGCATAGGGAATTCTAGGCTTTGTTCACTGGCATATTTGAGACTGAAGATTATGAATATCTAAATTAACATTGAGAGTTACAACAATCCAGTCACACTATTTTTTATTTTAAAATATACAACTAAGTTATTATTGACTATAGTCACCCTGTTGTGCTATCAAATAGCAAGTCTCATTCATTCTTTCTATTTTTTTGTACCCATTAGCCATCCCCACCTCCTACAGCTCCCCACTCAAAGGATAAGTGCTTAAGGGGATGGATATACCATTCTCCATGATGGGCTTACTTCACATTTCATGCCTGTATCAAAATATCTGATATACTCTATAAATATATATGCTTAACATGTATTCACAAAAATTAAAAATAATTTTAAAAATTTAAAACCCGGCCAGGCATGGTGGCTCACACCTGTAATCTCAGCACTTTGGGAGGCCAAGGCGGGTGGATCACCTGAGGTTGGAGGTTTGAGACTAGCCTGACAGACATGGGAAAACCCTGTCTCTGCTAAAAATACAAAATTATCCAGGTGTGGCAGTGCATGCCTGTAATCCCAGCTATTCAGGAGGCTGAGACAAGAGAATCGCTTGAACCCAGGAGGTGGAGGTTGTGGTGAGCCGAGATTGCACCATTGCACTCCAGCCTGGGCAACAAGAGTGAAACTCCATCTCAAAAAAATTAAATAAATAAAATAAAACACAAATTAACATTGAGAAATAGAAATTTGTCATTCCATGGTAAACTGTGGGTAATGGGTTATCCAATCCATTTCTACAGTCATCCGAAATAAAGTGCCTATTGATAAAAATATCTTTGGGGTCTGAGTGGCAACTGCCATAAATTAGTATGATGGGCAAGTGAAAATAAAATGTTTATTTCTACCACACTAAACATAATAAGAAAGAGAACAACAAGATCAGATTTCAAAATTCTCAGCTAAAGGCAAAGATTGAAACTCAAGCCCTTTCTGGGTTCCTTTTATTGCTTATTTATTTTTATTATACTTTAAGTTCTGGGATACATGCAGGTTTGTTACATAGAAACATGGTGCCGTGTTGGTTTGCTGCACCCATCAACCATCATCTTCATTAGGTATTTCTCCTAAAGCTATCCCTTCCCTAACCCCTCACCCCCTGACAGCCTCCAGTGTGTGATGTTCCCCTCCCTGTATCCATGTGTTCTCATTGTTCAACTCCCACTTATGAGTGGGAATATTCAGTGTTTGGTTTTCTGTTCCTCTGTTACCATTCAGGACATAGGCATGGTCAAGGACTTCATGACTAAAACACAAAAAGCTATGGCAACAAAAGCCAAAATTGACAAATGGGATCTAATTAAGCTAAAGAGCTTCTGCACAGCAAAAGAAACTATCATCAGAATGAACATGCAACCTACAGAATGGGAGAAAATTTTTGCAATCTAAACATCTGACAAAGGGCTAATATCCAGAATCTACAAAAAACCTAAACAAATTTACAAGAAAAAAAACAAACAACCCCATCGAAAAGTGAGCAAAGGATCTGAACAGACACTTCTCAAAAGAGGACATTTATATGGCCAACAAACATATGAAAAAAAGCTCATCATCACTGGTCATTAGAGAAATGCAAATCAAAACCACAATGAGATACCGTCTCACTCCTGTTAGAATGGCGATCATTAAAATGTCAGGAAACAACAGACACTGGAGAGGATGTGGAGAAACAGGAACGCTTTTACACTGTTGGTGGGAATGTAAGTTAGTTCAACCACTGTGGAAGACAGCGTGGCGATTCCTCAAGGATCTAGATCCAGAAATACCATTTGACTCAGCAATCCCATTACTGGGTATATACTCAAAGGATTATAAATCATTCTACTATAAAGACAGATGTACATCTATGTTTATTGCAGCACTATTCACAATAGTAAAGACTTAGAACCAACCCAAATGCCCATCACTGATAGACTGGATAAAGAAAATGTGGCACAGGTACACCATGGAATACTATGCAGCCATAAAAAAGGATGAGTTCATATCCTCTGCAGGGATATGGATGAAACTGGAAACTATCTGGGTTCCTTTTAAAATCACCCAAGGAGTCTCAGTAAAAGAAGCTAAAATTTGCACCAGGAGGCTATCAAATTAAAAAAGAAAATAATTTCCTAGCTTCATAGATCTCTTATGCAAAATTTAGAGTATTTGTGGAGAAGGAGTTGAACCATGATAATTGGAAAGGGAGATTAAAGAGAATAAGAATATCCTAAAACCCAAATCAACTGATAAGAATATTTTACCTGAAGAATTACTGTGCTATCATGAAGATTTTGTAACAACCTTGACTGATGCAGTCACCTTGAAAAGAGAAGATAATTTCCTAATGCTTTCCACTCTCCATTCCTCTTTATCTCTAGCTGGTAACTCCAGATATCATCACTCATTTGGAGGAATGATAAAAATACAAACAAATCAAAAACCCTAGCAGAGGAAGGTTTGTAATGCTGAAATAATTATCATTCTTCAGTAACATGACAAAATCCCATGTGATACACTCAGAATGTATCAGTGGGTGATACAGATACCCACTGTATGGATTCAGTGGGTGCTTGGTCAATGAAAAACTTAAGAAAAATCTTAGAAATAGCCAAATTTATCAGCTATTTTTTTACATATTGAAAACTCCAGTAGAAGAAAATAAAACGCTAGAGCAAGCAAGACCAGGAGCAGCAAC